>NC_000011.10:31878181-32029696 GCF_000001405.40 Homo sapiens
TGCTTGAGGCTGGTTTGATTGTACAAAACCAAGTTTGGAACTTTCTGGTCATCTTGTTGGTAGGTTAGGACTCAGCACTTGCAGCTTCATTGTGAGGGTTCTTGAACCTCAAGGTAGAACTGACATCATTAATGTCCCACAGGAAGCAACTGAGTAGAGTGACCAGCCTGTGATCTCTGGAGTCAGCCTAGATTTAACACCAGCTCTGCTTCTGACTGGCTGTGTGCCCTAAGGGAAATTACCCAGTCTCTCTGGGTCTCAGTTTCTTCATCTGCAACCTAGTGTGTGATACTTGTATCCATCTTATTTCAGTGAAGATTAAATATATGTAAAACACTTAGCACAGTGACACGTGGTAAATGTTCAGTAAACATTTGCTACTACGCTGTTATTATGTTGACCCACTAATGAGCTATTCAACCAACCTCTTAGTTATTCAAGTCTTGGTTTTTTCTTGGAGCCATCAGGAGAGACCATGAATTGCACCCTATTTAAATTGGCCTATATCACACAGAAGGTGATTTAATTCAATCTAATACTGATTGAGGTCCTGGCACGAGTACGGCCCTGTGGTAGCAAGATGAATGTGTCCCCAGGAGCTCATTGGCTAGTGGGAAAGCCAGAAACATGCATCGGTAACTCAGATCCAAGGCAGCCTGTTGCCAGCGGTGTAATGAGAGGTGCAAATAATGCATGTGGATGGGGCCTCTCCAGTGGCATCAATGGGAGGAGGATTTGAAGTGATGCTCAGGGAGGTCCAATCACTTGTCCAAAGTCACACAGTTACTAAGATGTGGAGCTAGGATTAGACTGTAGGTCTGTCTGGTTTAAAAAAAAATCATGCTTGTTTCCTCCATATTAATAAGCAATTCAAGGTCAAAGTCACTCTAGAGCAGACTAGGGCTGTCCAGTAGAACTTGCTTCCATGCATATGCTCTATATCTGTGCTGTTCAATATGGTGACCACTAGCTACACTTGGCTACTGGGCACTTGAAACATGGCTAGTGTGAGTGAGACACTGGATTATTTTAAATTTTATTTAAACATGGCTAGTGGCTACTATGTTGGACAGCAAAGGTTTAGATGGAGGAACTAATTTAAGAGAAGGGCTAATGTTAAAGATCAAACTATTTTTTTTTTCTTGTTATGAGACAGAGTCTCACTCTGTTATCCAGGCTGGAGTGCATTGGTGCCATGTCGGCTCACTGCAACCTCCACTTCCCCTGTTCAAGCAATTCTCCTGCCTCAGCCTCCTGAGTAGCTGGGACTACAGGTGTGCGCCACCACACCTGGCTAATTTTTGTATTTTTTAGTAGAGACGGGGTTTCACCATATTCGCCAGGCTGATTTTGAACTCCTGAACTCGTGATCCTCCCGCCTCAGCTTCCTAAAGTGCTGGGATTACAGGCATTAGCCACTGTGCCCAGCCCAAACTTTTTAATGACAGGAAAGTGAGAGATTTTAAAAAATAAAAAGTAAAAATAAAGGCAGACTCTAATTTGAAAGGAACTGTTAATAAATAAATAAATAAATAATAATAATAATAATAATAATAATAATAATGTTTTCATGGAGGCCAAATATTTTTCCACCCTTGGAGGAACACATGCATTTGGTTGACGTGCTCTGACCATGCCATGTTTGTGGCTCTTTGTCAAACAGTTTGGGGCCAAGCCAAAGCCCATGGGGAGGGCTCCCTTTGGCAAATGCATTCCCTCTTCTTCTCTGTTTTGTATTTGGCATTAAACTGAGTAACTGTCTCATGCTGAAACCACCACACGTATCTAATTCCCATTTTGTTCTCTGTCAGATTCAGGCAGAGAGCTGATAGAATAGCTGACACTTTCAAGTCAGAGAAAACTTCCTATCTGTACTTCTCAATGGTTGGAGCTGTGCAAAGACACACTAGGCAGCCTTTGTGGGGGGAGGGTGAGTCTCCCATCAGGAGAAGTGTTCAAGCATGCGTTGAACAATCATGGGTATGTTGTGTCAAGGTTGCAAACGTCAAAAGAGAGAGGAGAGGTAGTTGGAATAAATGACCCTTTATGTTATTTCTAGCCTCTAAAGTCAGAGCCTTTACAAAGACTTTTGTACAAATGATTTTGCTCTGTAAAAACCCTTATCTATCTATACCCCATAGCCAAGGTTAGACTGGTAATTCTCTGAGGTCAAGGCTGTATCATAGTCACTACCGTGTTGTTGAACTAGCCATGGTACTTGGAACATGAGAAGTGTTCAGTAAATACTGGTTGTTGTGGTTGAGAGAACACTGGAATCTTAATGTCTTAACCTAAATATTAAATGGTAGTCTTCATTTGTTTTGATGAGAGAGTGGATGCGAAGTAAATTCAATGCAAATTTGGGTCTGATCTCCAAAAGGACCAAACAATCATTCCCCCTTGTGTGCTCAGTCCTGTGAGATTAAAAAGGTAGGGCGAGAACTCACAATTACACAGTGTCTACCAGGTGCTGAGTACTGTGGTAGGTGCATTTGCATATATATTATAGTATAATTCCCAAGACAACCTTGGAAGAGGAATTACTGTCCCATTTTATAGATAAGGAAGCTGAGGCTTGACAAGGAATTATTACAAAATCCCATTGATAGTAAGTGGCTGAGGTAACAAACAGTCAACAGCCTTTAGTTCTACCCTAAACTAATTTATGTAGCAGATGTTACATAGGAGGGATCACTGAAGGTAAGGACATGAGACTGAAGAGACATCTTGGGCAAGGTTATGGACATCTTCAACATTGGAGAGGTGAGGAGATGCCTTCTGCCTCTTTGCCAGAGAGACCACCATGTCTTAGTGAATCAGAATGATTTAGGACCATAGTAGATAACATCACCTCCTCATCTCACCCCCTTGCCCAAATCCTTACAAGTTCTTATTTGCCAATGGGAACCCCTCAGATTGGCTTCTCTTTCTCTCTCTCTCTCTCTCTTTTTTTTTTTTTTTTTTTGAGACAGAATCTCACTCTGTCACCCAGGATTGAGTGCAGTGGCGCGATTTTGGCTCACTGCAACCTCCGCCTCCTGGGTTCACGCCATTCTCCTGCCTCAGCCTCCTGAGTAGCTGGGACTACAGGTGCCCGCCACCACACCTGGCTAATTTTTTTTTGTATTTTTAGTAGAGACGGGGTTTCACTGTGTTAGCCAGGATGGTCTTGATCTCCTGACTTCATGGTCCGCCCACCTTGGCCTCCCAAAGTGCTGGGGTTACAGGTGTGAGCTGCCGCACCTGGCCAGGTTGGCTTCTTTACACTTCTAAGGAATTACTTCAAATGCAAGACCTTTTTTTCTCAGTTTCTTTTCATTGGCCAATTTTTAAAGCCCACTGTAGATGTATTAACCAAGACTCTTTCTGTTACAAGTGGCAGAAATCCAGTTCAAAGAGGTTTAATTACAAAAGTTGTTCATGGTGCTGAATGAGCAAGACTTCATGGATGCCTGGATATGGGTGCTCACATGATGGTATTCCAAATATCTCTCAGGTGTCTTTTGGCTCTTCTCTCCTGTTTTGGATCCCTTATCAGGCATGGTCACCAGCAGTTCCAGATTTACTTCTTAGTATCTTCAGTAGAAACAGCGAAACTTTCCCCCAGTTGTTCTAACATGGAAAGAAATGAAGCACATGAAACAATGTTGAAACTATGAGGTTTGCACTGGATCTGATAGATGTCAAGTACTGCTGTGTTTCTCTTGAAATTTTAAACTCTCCGAGGCAGCCCTGAGTGTTCTCTGTGGCATCTCAGTGTGCTTCATCATACAGTTTGGGATCCAGTGTTGTTGGGTCACTGTCTCCCCTTGCCTGACCTGCTGCTGCTCTCTGTCCTAATTCCTGGCCTCAGCCCTTCCTGTTTGTAGAGTAGTATTTTGAATCTCATCCTCGATTTTTATTAATGAATCACCTTAAGCAGGTTACTTGTTCTTTCCACACCTGACTTTCCTCATTGGTAAATGGTGATTGTACTATCCACCTTGGAGGGCCATTGTGAGAATTAAATGATATTCTCTGTTTAATATGCTGAGTGAAGTTCCCCAAACACAATCAGTATTCAAAGTTGCAGCTATTATTCTCCTTGTCTTTCTTCTACATATTGTTATTACTATCACTACTTGGAGCAGCTATATTAGTTGGCATTAGGCTTATCTGTGAATGGCAGTAAACCCCACACAAGTAGCTTAAAGACAATTGGAGGTTTATTTCTCTCACATGCAAATATCCAGGAAGGTGGTCCAAGGCTGGTGTGATGTTACCTAGTGTCAGGAGTCCAGGCTCTTTCTGTCTTATTTATCTGTGGTTCATAGGTCCATTTTCAAGGCCACCTCATGGCCCAAGTGGGCTGCTCTAGATCCAGCTCTTATGCCCCCCTTCCAGCCAGAAGGAACAAAGAAAGGGGAGGAGAAGTTCACACTCCCTCTCTTCCTGGAAGGTGCACACCCCAAGCCTATACAACTCTCATTGCCAGAGCTTGTCACACCTAGCCGCAAGGGAAATGGAGAAATGTAGTGTTATTCTGAGTGGCCACGGTGCGCAGCTCAACGTTTTATTACTATGGAGGAAGAGTAGGCTCTGCCACTGCAGGACTAGAAAAGGACCCTAGAAGCTGGACTGACCCCAGATGATGCAGCTCCGAGAAAACTATGCTTCTGCTTAAAGGGAAATACTGTACATCTTTTGCCACCCGAGGAATGCAAAATTCCCTTGGGAATTTTTAAGAAAGCTGGAAGTTAAAACTCAAGTGTGAAGCTCTCTTCCCTGAGCCAAGGAGCTTAGTTCAGTCTTTCTCCTCTGATTGCCAGCCGGGGCTGGGGAGAGGCAGAGCACTGGCCCCAGGCAAACTTGGTTTGAGGCCAAATTCCAGGACTCTTGGGGCTGACTGGCAGCCACTCTGTCTGAGCAACCTGGGGGATCCTGAGAAAAGAATGAACATCCGAATCCCAGAACAAAATCAGCAATGATGATGCTCCTGCAGCCCGGGTCTGGCTGGGAGGCCACACAGTGGGGAGGATGAGGTCATGGTGACAAATGAGAGAAGGGGGAGGGCTCTAGAGTGCAGCAAGTCTGCCCACCAGCCAGAGCCGGGTGCTCAGAGCAAAGCCAGCCCCTCTCTTGTCTGCCACTGCTCTCCTGTGTGATCGTAGGAGAGTCACAATGTTTTTGGACTTCAGTCTATCCAGTGAGAAGATAGGAAACACAGCAGCAGCGGCTAGGTTCAGGAATGTCCAGAAAGTGAATAGAATTATTAAAGAAAAAGGGGCTTGGTTGCTAGGGGTTTGGGTGGAGCACAGAGGATTTTTAGGTCAGGGAAGCTTTTGTGTGACACTGTAATGATGGATGCATGACATTACACATCCTTAAAACCCTTAGGAAGTATAGCACCAAGAGGCAACTCTAATGTAATCTATGGACTTTGATTGATATTGACGTGCCAATGTAGGTTTATCTATTGCAACAAATGGACTACTCTGGTGGGGCATGTTGATGATGGGGGAGGATGTCGGAGAGTGAGAGGAGTATGTTGAAACTCCGTGTATTTTCTGCTTCATTTTGCTGTGAATCTAAAACTACTCTATCATCTAGTCCAAAAGCCTACTTTAGGGCTATAAAGACAAAGTAATCAGATATTAAGTAAATAGTGATATTTTATCAAGGATGATGTAATAAAAGAGATTAAGGAGTCCCCCCAAACATTCGTGTACCATGAAATTGCTCACATCTTGGTGTTGAGTGGTCCCGTCCATTCGATGGGTATGGTAGTTTAATTTGGAACTTGGAGGGAGGAAGTAGACAAAAAACACTGCAGTTGCATTTTCTGCATCGCATTGGTATACTTTTAGGTCATTCCAAGATCACTGCCTTTTAAGATTTAGGAGATACAGTTACCTTTTGATGATCTGCAAGTGCTTTTGTTCAGCATGTAGGTTTCCTGCTTTTTGAAGAAAGCCAGGATTATATATTGGCCTGAAGACAGTGCAGCAAGAAGCCCTGCGCTAGCGCTGTTGTGGCTAAAATGGTGGTGGTGCATCTACTGTCCAATAGAACTCTCTGTGATGACAGAAATGTTCTAATTTGTACTTCTCTGATGTGGTAGCCACCAGCCACGTGCAGATACTGAGCACTTGAAATGTGACCAGTGCAATTGAGGAACTGAAAATTTCATTTTATATTAATATCTTTAAACTACAAATTTAAATCATTTTATTTTAATAACTTTAAATTTTAATATTTTAATACTTTTAAATTTACATAGCCACACATGGCCAGTGGCCACTATATTAGACAGCATGGGTCTAGGGCTATATCCTTCAGTAGTGCTTTTCCTACTCACCTCATGGTTTCTCAGGAGTTTGCTTTGCACGTTTCTGTGTGTCTGTGGAGAGGAGGGAATCATGTACAGGAATGCTGCAGGAATTCTAATGGATATGCCAAAGGCTTACCCTCAACCCACAAATATCTCAGACCCAAAATGCTGGAGCATCCTACTACATATCTACCTTTCACCTAAAAAAAAGAAAACATACAATGGAATCCAGGAAACAAGGCAGGGATTATGTAGAATTTCTTCGCTGTATATCTTGTTTTAAAAAATACGTCATTACATTTATAGTTGTATTATGTATAATGGGTCATGGGATCAAACTGAGGTCTAAGGCTAGTCCTGGCTTTTGTGTCTTTCAGGATTTAGGAGATACAGTTACCTTTTGATGATCTGCAAGCCCTTTGCTTGCTGCCTTTTTTGCTTTGCTTGCCTTTGCTACTAAGTTGTTGTCTGGCATGTGACAGCCCTCCTGGATTTCACTTTCCCCATGGTTAGTAAATAAAATGGGATAAACAACCCGTCAGCTCTCTGATATTATCTCAGATCTGAACAGAATATATTATTTTTTATTAAAAAATATGGAGACAGAAAACTTTACTTTAGACTGGTCTAAATCTGTAGCAGATTATTCAAAATGCGTACCATGTTCTGCAGTATGTTGCAAAGGAGAAAAGGGCGCTGTGGTGCAACCAGCTTGGGATACACAGGTTAAGGTTACATAGGTTTCTTGATTTTAGGACTCCTCAAAGCCTTTAATATTCTAATGTGCATTATGACTTTTCAGGTGGGGAATCCAGCTGCTGCCTTTCTCAAAAGACCCTCAAATTATTTCTGCTGGAGGAGTGTCTTCCAGGAAGGACTAATGGTTTGTGGAATACACTTTGGGAAATGCTTATCTTGAGGCAGCATGAGTGTTTTTTCGGGACTCAGCTGTCTCCCCAACTTTGGCCTGTCCTTGCCTGTCATGCGGGGCATGCAGGAATGGAATTCTGCACATGGCAAAGGGCTGAATCCTGCTTTTCTTCACACAGGTGCAGCTCCCCACAGCACCAGCTCTCCAGCTGCCCCCACACAGCCTGTTTTGTGCTAGGGCTATCGCGATTTGCAAATTCCTTCTCTAGCTCAAGTGCATGGACCCAGAAAATGCCCCTGCTTGAGGGCCAATGTTGACCAAGGCCCTCAGCAGTAATGTGACCTCTGTGGGAGCAGCACCTCGCAGAGGGCAGAGTTTGGCTCTATGCTTGTACCATTGGTGGTAAATTCTGCTGAGCTCTATGGATCCATCTGGATGAAAAGGTCTGTATAAATGCAAGATCATTATCATCATCAGCTGTCCCAGTTGGAGCCTACTGATTCTCAAGCCCACAGTCAATGGGGCCTTTCCAACAATTCCATTGTACATGGCTTGGAAAAGGTGTAATTACACGAAGCTGAATATCTTCTGGAGAGACAGACACGTTCATGTCTGTCCCAGGAGTGTTGGAGAGGAATCTCTCAGGCCTCTCATTAGGCACATGGAGAGAGGTGCCCTCCAGGCCTGGCCCAGGTCAGGGACAAGTCAGAAGCTACATCTGGAGCAGATCCAGGATCTTATCCTGGTGCACACGAGGGGCCAGCATCGTGCTTGCACATTTATAGCTCAGGTGCTCTCTGGTGTTACCAGGAAGCTGCTGGGAAGAGACGGAGGCCGGAGAGTGTCCCAGGACAATGCTTCCTTCACTCATGTTCATTTTTAACTTTAAAAAATGGCCTCCATGATCCCCAAAATGGTCTTTTGGTGTGAGGGAAGTGGTTGCTGTAAGGAAAGTCTCTGCTCGACACACACAAAAATTCTCCTCCATGACTTTGGACCATGTCTCTGATAAAAAGACTGGCTGGGTGAGGAGTCCAGCCTGCAGACCTCCCATTTGTCCTGAGTCCTCTGTTGCAGTGGTCCTCAATCCCCAGGTTAGGGATCAGTACCAGTTCCTCTTAGGAACTGGGCCGCACAGCAGGAGGTGAGCAGCAGGCCAGCCAGCAAGCATTGCTGCCAGAGCTCCGCCTCCTGTCAGATCAGTGATGGCATTAGTTTCTCGTAGGAGCGTAAACCCCATTGTGAACTGGCCATGTGAGGTATCTAGGTTGCATGCTCCTTATGAGAATCTAACTAATGCCTGATGATCTGAGGCGGAACAGTTTCATCCCAAAACCACCCCCGCCCACTGTGAACTCAGAGAGCACCTCAGCCTATGGTCAGGTACCATCTACAGCACTTGTGCCTTAAACACCCATCAGCAGATATGAAGATTTCCCAAAGCATGCCTCAATTTAGGGTTGTGCAAACTAGTGTAGCCTCTTGCCTATAAATGAAGACTAAGGGCTCCATCCAACCAGCTCGCTTGTCTGGGTCCAGTCTCCAGAACTCTTCCAGCTTCCCTGTAGTAAAAGAACACACCTTGGTGGGCATTGTTCATTTATCAGTGCACAGGGCCACGTTGACAAAGTCTTAATATTTAATGGCTTACGAGTCTAATAATAAAAAAATTAAAACTCTATCTCTCGTTGTTCTTAAAAATGAGCCTGATTTATCCCATTCATTAGGCTCTTATGTCTCTGTCTGGAATCAAGATGTCAGATCTTTAGCCTAAGTAACATTAAGAGTAAGGAGGATAATGCAAATAATGCCCAAGGTTGCCCTTAAAAAATCGTAAAGAAATGAATAGGCTATCCCAGCTTTACTAGCACATATTTCACAAGTTGTGCTTAGCAAATACAGTCCTCATGAGTGCCACCTTTTATTTGGCAGTAAAACCTCCTCTGATCCCATCTGCAAACCCAGTACTTAGCATGGAAGGATCCCATTAGCTAACATCATCTGGCTCAGGAGCGCCCTCTCCAGGTGCTGATTTTCATTCATATCCCAGACTACCAGGATTGCACTTAAGGTGGGTGGATCACGAGGTCAAGAGATTGAGACCATCCTGGCCAACATGTTGAAACCCCGTCTCTAACAAAAATACAGAAATTAGCTGGGCATGGTGGTGTGAGCCTGTAGTCCCAGCTACTTGGGACGCTGAGGCAGGAGAATCGCTTGAACCTAGAAGGTGGAGGTTGCAGTGAGCCGAGATCACACCACTGTACTCCAGCCTGGCAACAGAGTGAGACTCCGACTGAGAAAAAAAGAAAAGAAAAGAAAAAGATAGGGGAAGGTGAGGAAAGGGAAGTAATTATGTTATTTTGAGTCTAGTAGGCACTGGATGAGGTGCTCATATGTCCTTCCTTAAGCCTCTTCCACTTGACCCTCAACACCTATCCAGGAAGTAAATTTTATTATGCTGGTTTTGCAGATGAGGAAACTGAAGTTTGCAGGCATTAAGTAAAGAATCCAAGTTTCCATAACCTTGGAACTGGAATTAGCAGGATGCTGGGATTAATGCCAGGATGACCAGCTTCTCATTCTCTGTTCTTCTGACTATCCCGCACATGCGCCCTTTGCCTTTTTTGTCTATTTCTGATGTTACCACTCCTACTCATGTGACCTAAGTTAGTAGTTATTTAATTTCTCCTAACCTCAGTATTCTGACCTATTCAATGGAAATAGCAATATTTGTTCCACTGCCTTCCTTGATTGCTGTGTGGAGAAAATGAGATAATATGTGAGAAAGGGAAGGAGAGAGGCTTTCTCTGCTTCTTTCTAAAAGTTTCAGACCAGTTCTATCCAACTCAGTCCAGGAAGGGAGAATGACTAAGTGTGTGGAGAGAATGCTCTGGGTGAGTGTGATTCTAGAGTAACACATCAGCTGTTTATACTCCATATGAGCACATCTCAAGGTATGGGAAGTTTGTTGGGTTTTTTTGTTTTTTAAATCCCACACCTTTAAGATGAAATTCTGTCCCACTGAGACCCTGCTGAGCAGAAAATAATAGGTATCAACCACCTTTCCTCAAGCTTCCTCCACCTGAAGCCTGAGAGCAATGTGGCTGAAGGGGGACAGGAGGTGTGTGGTGAAGGGATGGAGAGGTTTCTAGCTTGAATGATTTTTTCACTAGGTCAGCTCGTGGCCTCCGTGACAGTGGGGGTGAAATTATTAAAACAGAAACACCTTCACTGCAGCAGGTTCAGTTGTGACACATATGATGTTTTATAAAGTCCATATTTCTGTCCAGTATGGGAAATTTTCAGATCAAACCTCAATCAGAAAGTTATTGAACTAGCCAAGAAGAGGAAGATAATGTGGAGACAGAATTGCAGTCCCACATAGGATGGGGCTGTGGGCCAGGGCACACAAGTGCAGGTTACAGGGAAGCACAAAGCCATAGGGCCAAGGAAACAGAGAGAAGCAGTTCAAGAGAGGAGTGCATGAGGAGTTCTGGGCATCTTCTAAAGTGTATGGAAGAGAGATAATCTTCTGAGAGTCACTTTTGGCAGAGCCCATGCAGATTTTTTAAAAAACCTTTTAGAATCTTGAGAACATTTCAAATGTGCAGAAAAATTGCAAATATATCCAAAGAACTCCCCAAAACATATTCTTTATGCAGACTCACCAAGTGTTAACATTTTGCCACATTTACTTTGCCATGCTGTCCCTCTCCCTTCCTCTCTCTCTATAATTTTTTTCCTGAACATTTAAGAGCAAGTTGCAGACACAATGACATTTTACTCCTGCATACTGTGTGGATTTTCTGAGAACAAGGTCATTCTTTTATATAACCTCGGTACAAATGTTAAAGCTAGGAAATTTAGCAAAATTTTTATTGAATCCAGAAGTAGGTAAAATTTTTTTCTGCAAAGGGCCAGGGAGTAAATATTTTCAGTTTATGGGCCAGGGGTGTTCAATCTTTTGGTTTCCTTGGGCCACACTGGAGGAAGAAGAATTGTCTTGGGGCACACATAAAATATACTGACACCAATGATGTTGATGAGAAGAAAAAACCCTCAAAAAAAATCTCATAATGTTTTAAGAAAATTTACAAATTTGTGTTGGGCCGCATTCAAAGCCTCCTTGGGCTGCATGCAGCCTGCAGGCCGTGGGTTGGCAAGCTTGTTATAGGCTATACAGTCTCTGTCACAACTATTCATCCATGCCTTGGCATACAAAAAACAGCCATAGACAATACACAAATGATTGTACATGGCTGTGTTCCAATAAAACTTTATTTGAAAAAATGAGTGGCAGGCCAAATTGGGCTACAGGACCATAGTTTGCTGACTGATGATCAAACCTGTGTCTTTCATGATTGACATTCTTTTTTTTTTTTTTTTTTCTGAGACAGGGTCTCAGTCTGTCATCTAGGCTGGAGTGCAGCCATGGCTCACTACAACCTCGACCGCCTGAGCTCAAGTGATTCTCCCACCTCAGCCTCCTGAGTAGCTGGGACCATAAGCATGCGCAATCACACCCAGCTAATTTTTTGTTTTGTTTTGGTTTTTTGAGATGGAGTCTCACTCTGTTGCCAAGCTGGAGTGCAGTGGTGAGATCTTGGCTCACTGCAACCTCCACCTCCCGGCAAGCGATTCTCCTGTCTCAGCCTCCACAGTAGCTGGGATTACTGGCACAGACCATCATGCCCTGCTATTTTTTTTTTTTTTTTTTTTGGTATTTTTAGTAGAGATGGGGTTTTGCCACACTGGCCAGGCCAGTCTCAAACTCCTGACCTCAGGTGATGCCCCTGCCTCCGCCTCTCAAAGTGCTGGGATTACAGGTGTGAGCCATCACGCCCAGCCCACACCCATCTAATTTTTTTATTTGAAGAGATGAGGTCTCACTATGTTTTTTGTTTGTTTGTTTGTTTGTTTTTTACACAGAGTCTCGCTCTGTCGCCCAGGCTGGATGGAGTGCAGTGGAACGATCTTGGCTCACTGCAAGCTCCATCTCCTGGGTTCACGCCATTCTCCCGCCTCAGCCTCCTGAGTAGCTGGGACTACAGGCGCTCGCCACCATGCCTGGCTAATTTTTTGTCTTTTTAGTAGAGACGGGGTTTCACCGCGTTAGCCAGGATGCGGTCTCGATCTCCTGAACTTGTGATCCTCCCGCCTCGGCCTCTCAAAGTGCTGGGATTACAGGCGTGAGCCACCACACCCGGCCGAGGTCTCAATATGTTACCCAGGCAGGTCTTGAACTCCTGAGCTCAAGGGATGCTCCTGTCTTGGCCTCCCAAAGTGCTGGGATCACAGATGTGAGCCACTGTGCCTGGCTAATAATTGACATTCTTGAAGAGTACAGGCCAGTTATTTTGTAAAATGTCCTTCAATATGGTTTTCCCTGGTGTTTCTTTGCAATAAGATTTAGGTTATATAATTTTAGCAGGAATATAACACAAGTGATGTGCTTTTCTTAGTACATCATAGCAGGGCCACGTGATGATGGTTGGTCCTCCTATTGGGGCTGAAGCATATGTTTTTAAAATGAGGGATTTGAGTAATTTCAAACAGAATAAGAAATGGTTCTGCAGATGGTAGCAAGAGCCGTGGCACATAGAAGGGATATCTGAAGGGGAGGACCTGGGCAAGGAGAAGGGGGGCATCCAAGCCTTGCTAGAGCACAAAAGTGGAGCAATAACAATAGTTATTAGTAATAATGAGATATTATGTATTGAACACTAATGTGCCAGACACCATGAAAAGTATTTAAAAATATGTCATCTCCTTTAATCCTCTCATAATGGTATGAAGCATGATCTATTATTATTCCATTTCACAAATGGAATAATAAAGGTGTAGGGGAGGTGGGAAAGGGCAACAGTAGCCCCAGTTCTTCTCTCCTCCCTATATCTGTTGCCGTTGCCATGTAACTTTGCTGTTCTTTCCACAAAAGGGTCAGGGTATTGTAGAGGAGGAAAAGTATCTTTTCCTCACCTATTGCTAGGTTCATGGCTAAGGCCTCTGTAACAAAAGATGGTTTAACAAAAGAAAAGCTTACAAATTTATTTAAGATAAGTTTTACATGACACAGGAGCTTTCTAAGGAAAGGAACACTCAAAGAAACAGTTAAACTTGTGTATTTTTATGCTAAGTTTGACTAATAATGGACAATCATGAAGACAAATAATTGGACAAAAGGGTTATGGTGTAATGGTAATAAACTGGGAGAACTTAGCAAGGCCTCTTTGGTCAGATTCTTCTCTGATACCCTGTGTCTTCAGAGATAAAGATGTTTCTTTCCTCCAGGTATAGGGAGAACATCTTGCGAATGGGGGTCTTATATGACCCATTTCAGGGTAAGGTCAGAAAATCGTTCTTAGGTTTTGTGACCTGCTTCAAGGGAGAAGAGCGAGAGGAAGGTGAGAGTGACTTTCCTTCTCCTGCTGTTTCCTCAGATGCCAAGGTGCCATATTTTGGGATAGTGTGTCCTGAACTCTGTCACTGTATTTTCTTACCCCTTGGTACTGAGTTTTGCTGTGTGACTTCTTTTGACCAAAGGAATGAGGCAAAAGTGACCATGTGCCAGTTTGGAGCTTAGGTCTTAGAGACTTTGCATGTTGCTGCTTGCTCTCTTGTGCCTCTGTCATTGCCAAGAGAAGAACATGATGTGGGCTCCCTCTGGTCCTGAGAAGAGGATGAGAGCTGTGCAGAGCAGAGCTTTAGTATCCAAGCCCAGCCTATGTCAACCAAACCTCAGTTGACTTGCAAACTTGTAAGAAATATAAAATGATTGTTAATTTAAGTCACTGTGTTTGGGGATGATTTGTTATGCAGCACTGGCTAACTGATATAAAGGACTTAATTAACTTGCCCATGGCCACACAACTACAGTAGTCCCCACTTGTCCAGGGTTTTGCTTTCTGCAGTTTCAGTCAGAAAATAGGTGAGTACAATTCAATAAGATATTTTGAGAGAGAGAGAGACCACATCCATACAACTTTTATTACAGTATATTGTTATTATTGTTCTATTTTATTATTAGTTATTATTTATCTATTACTGTGCCTAATTTATAAATTAAAGTTTATCATATGTACTTATGTATATATAGGAAAAAACATAGTATCTATATATGGGGTTCAGTACTCTTTGAGGTTTCAGGCATCCACCAAGGGTCTTGAAACATATCTCCTGCAGATAAGGGGAGACTACTATACCAGTTATGCAGCCAGATTTTGAAGACAAATGAATATTCCATAAACTGTCATTTTAACCATCATGCTCTAGTTACACATTGCTGTATAATTTACGCTTATGTGGATCTTTCCCCAAAATCCTTTTGTTGACTTTATAAAGTCCATGTGTTCTTAGAGAATCAGGGGTTCTTAAAATGTTGGGGATCATTTAGAGAATCTGAGCCTGCTTCCTTCTCCCCATCAAAAGATCAGGCAAACAAACATACAAGACTGCACGCAATTTTGGGTGGTTCATGGGTTCCCCCAAGCTTTTTCATGAATCACCCGGAAATGTATGAACTACAGGTAAAGAATCCTGGCTCTACATCTGAATCTGATCCAGGTAGACCCTCCCTAATGGCTACAATCAAGATTTTTTATTATAAAAAACAGGTGGACAGATTCACTTGCTAGATTCTTCCCTTTCATTTGTGTAGCATTTTCTATATTTGATGCCAAGCTACTTTGTTTATCCTCATACCTCCCATTTCCAAAGCCCTTTGGCTACACTTTAAAAACCAAAAATATCTTCGTGGTAATCTAGAAACAAGTGGGTTTTGTCAGAGTTGCTCTCCTGCCCCATTTTCTTTGCCTTTGCCATGATTTGTTCGTGTTTCCGGCTTAAACCAGACCATATTTAGAATACCCCAGTCAGCCCCTCATTCTTCCTTTCTGGTAGGGCTTGGTATTGGTTTCTCTCTCAGGCCCAGTATCCATGTGTCCAAATGCTATGAGCTAGAAAGATAGCAATAGCTGACATTGCTGAAAGCTCACTATGTGCTAAGCATGGAGAAAAGTGCCTTTTACCCATCATCTCACTAAATCCTTATAACAACCCAGGGAGGATGTTTACATTATTATCATTTTTATAGCTGGGGAAGCTGCGGCTAAGAGCTAAGTAAACGAGTAAAGAGTGGTGCCGGGACCTGAACCCAGATTCCATAACCCGTATTGTTACCTACTGGCCTTCTTTAGCACTAAGCCTCCGGACTTCTCTATTGTTTTTTGGGTCATCTTTTACGCTAATTGAAGGCAGAGTCTATGTCCTGTAATGATCTCCTAACTCCGTTTACTCCATAAATGATAGCTCTCCTCACCCCCATGGGCTTATAGTCCCAGGAATGAATTTTTGTTTGGCTTTCCTGTCCAATTTTGTTCTTATCACTTCAGTTCACGGAATTGGGCCCTTTCTCTGAGCCCCAGTATGACAGGCTGGCCCTGAAGAGATTTCGTGGTTGATAATTGGATACTGTGTGACCCCCAAATTACCCTGACCCTCAATCCACTACTAATGAATCCCTGTGGAAGCCACCATGTTGATGGTTGTCTACTGTTCATGAGATGCCCATGCCTTTTCTCTATGGGTTGCAATGGCCAGGAAAGTTTTCCTGGGGAGATTGAACCTGGGCTGGTCTTTGATAATCTGAAAGGCATGGGGAAAGAAATCATTCATGAGTACAAGGATGAACTCCAAAGAGGCTGTTTCTAGGAACATAAACAAGTAAGGATTCAGTCATACAGTGATATTTTGTGTCCACCGTTTTGGTGAAATTAGTCCTTCTTCAAGCAGCTGGATTTGTATAATGCAGCCCCCCCCCAACCGAGCCCACCCCAAAAAAGAGGCTTAATTTGTTAGACACATGCAGGCAATATACAACTGTCTTTTAGGTAAACCTCATAAAAAGAGCTGATAAAGAAACACATCATCCCTTTATTAGAAGGAGAGGAGAAGTTGGTAACTAAGAGGTCACCAAAAAAAGGCCAAGGCTTCTAAGGTTTTGTTTCATTGTGTTTTAATCTCTCTCTGGTCAAATAAGGACAAGTGTTATCTAAATGCCTAAGGAGCAGCAAGTGAGATGGAAAGACCAGAAGTCAGGTAGCACTCCGGAAATCAGTGGTCCATTCACAGGGAAAAACTGAAAGTGCTCCCACCCTGGGACCTGAGGATTTGTAGTTTCAAAAGTGGCCAAAGGAGGAAAAGAAGAACCCTATTGGTCATACTGGGAGGACTGGGACACTGATGAACTTGCCAAAGTCTTCAGGGACAACAAACGGTAACCCTCATCATCCAGGTCATTGCTGCCAAGTCAGGAAGCTTGGTCAGTCACCTCAGACAATGTGGGCTGGGTCCCTAAGACCAATACAAGAACATAGGAGCAACCAAATCCTCAGTGTGTGGGAATGTGGGCCCAGGGTGGATTACAGGTGAGCTGGGAGGTTGTCAGTCAATCTGTTATAACTTTAAGTTCCCTGAGTTTGCCAAAGGCCTTAGGGTAGGAGTGGAATTCAAGACAAGTAGCTGGATGCAAGTTTAAATATGCAGAGATGACCCTAGTCTCCTCCATCCCCTACGTCTTAGTGTATCCTACACTTGATGGGGTGATGGTATTTCTTTGGAGAGAGTAAAAGTGAAAGTGGGGTGGGATGGTATTTGTTGTCTCTTTCCTTTCCATCTCTACCAAGTAACACTAGCTTTCTGTTGGAGGGAGGAAGCTGATTTTTATCCTGACTCTTTTCTCTTAGGTTGAAAGTTTTAAAATTTGTCTAACTTCCGAGAAAAATCCCTCAATCTGTTCTTTCTTTCTTTCTTTTTTTTTTTATTTTTTATTTTTTTATTTTTTTTTTTGAGACGGAGTCTCGCTGTCGCCCAGGTTGGAGTGCAGTGGCGCGATCTCGGCTCACTGCAGGCTCCGCCCCCTGGGGTTCACGCCATTCTCCTGCCTCAGCCTCCCGAGTAGCTGGGACTACAGGCGCCCGCCACCTCGCCCGGCTAATTTTTTTTTTTGTATTTTTAGTAGAGACGGGGTTTCACCGTGTTAGCCAGGATGGTCTCGATCTCCTGACCTCGTGATCCGCCCGCCTCGGCCTCCCAAAGTGCTGGGATTACAGGCGTGAGCCACCGCGCCCGGCCTCTTTCTTTTTTTTAATGGTTCAATCTGTTCTTAAGGTCCAGAACTTCCACTGTTTTCCCATCAGTCTTTGTTTGAGAGCTAAGAATAGCAAGGAGGTTCCTAAAGCAAAGTTAGGAATAGCAGAACTAATTCCTTGACTCTGGAGAGCTTGTGGGCCATAAGATGCAAATGAATGTTAAATTGATCATTGATATGCTAGAAAACTTCAACCCAAGGCATCTCTTGATAGTTTTCTTTGACCTCCTATGTCCTTCAGGCCCACTGCAGAATTAAATACTACCCCGTCTTTTAACCCATTGCACTGTGTGTGTGTTAATAGAATTTATCACATTGTATTGCAATCAGTTTATGACCTACTTGAGAAGACAGACTGGACCTTCCTTAATTTTTTTGTGCCTGGAACCAAGTAGATGTTCAGTAATTAATTGTTGGTTGACTTGAAGTACATTTTCATGTACCTGCTAGAATCAAAATTCTTTAGAAATAAAATATGTAAAACATAAACTTTGATAGAGATGCTCTTTTCATTTATCTTTTTCTCAAGCTTTCCTTTAAGTCACTTCATCTTGCTTTTCAACAGACCATCTTATTTTCCCCTGGGAGTCTGGACAAACCTCCTCTCTACTTCCTGTCAAAGATGAATTCCCTCTTAGGCATTCTTAGAAGTATAGCACAGTCATTTAAAAGTTATTTTAAAAATGGAGTAACCTCCACTAACATATCTGACATATCTGCTAATATTAGAAGACTTGGATTCTATAAAAGTTTTTTTTCCTAAAAAGCATCGCATTGATCAGTATCATGTATTTATATGATACTGATCAATGAGGTGCTTTTTAGAAAGCAGGATTCAATTAATTGAAGCAGCTCTTTACAGAGATGGTTTTTCCCTCATCAATGGATTTTCTCTAGTACTTTTTTCACAGGGATGTTATGAGGTGATAAGAATAAGCTTTGACCTTAGAGTTAATCTGGAGTCTAGAGTCCTCTGTGTTTTTATAAAAATACATCAGAGTTGCAGAATTAATCACCATTGTGCCTTGTCCAGGGCCCCAGGGGTCAGTATATAAGGAAGTTGTGTCCATTCTTCAAGAACAGAGACATCTCATCTAGGGATTAAGAGTATGTGACAGATTAAGGAAGTTTATCCCTTTAAGCATGAAATCTTTTCCATTATTTTAACAATCTTAGATGGAAATCTCTTTCAAATGCATTACATGCTTACCCATCTTCCTTTTTTGTCTTTTCTCTGCTTATTTCCTAAGTCCTCAGTGCTTCACATAGTTTACTCTTTTCCTAGGGGCTCAGGGCAACATTGCAGCTGAGGCTGGCCATTCTACAAGGAAGTCCCAAGGTTCTTCATTCTAGAAAACCCATCTGGGATTGTTCACCTTTCCTACCTCTCCCCCATTTCCCAAAATGGAAATAATATTTTTTTTTTTTGCTGGTCATAGGAATAATAGATATTGTTGAAATTTAAATACAATATAGGGCTATATAAAGTATAGATAACAATTGGGAATGTATCGTTTAGGAATTTTTAAATGCATAAAAACACACACTACTTGTTAGCTCTATGACCTCGGACAAGGTGAGGAACCTTCCTTTTCTTGCTCTTGTTTTCTAGTCTATAAACTAGGGATCACAGCAACCTTACGGGATTGTTGTGAGGGTCAACTGAGCAGTTGGTAGAGTAGCTGGCATATAACAAGGGTTCAATAAATGTTTATTCTTTCCCCTAACCTTCCCCTTGGTAAATTATTTTAAGAGATAGTATAGTTTAAAATATTAGTTCCATGGGCTCTTCCTCCAGTGCTGTCAGTGAACATTTATTGAGATGTGACCATGTGTAGTAATGACAACATGATTGAATATGTTCTGTGTGCCAAGTTATCTATTTTAACTCTCAAAACTCTTATGAGGCAACAACTATTGACTGCCCCATTTCACAGATGAAGAAACTGAGGCTTGGTGAGACCAAGTAACTTGCCAAGATTACAACACTAGAGCCAGTGGTGGGTAGAGCCAGGAATTACATGGAGGAAGCCTGACGCCAGACACTGTGTGCTCAATAGCCACATTATTTTGCCTCGCATTAGACCAATATAATATAAGAGAGAAGGATGTCAAGCTGAGGAGATAAAGTATGGAGATATGCATAGGTCACTAATTCCCAAACACAGGTATCTATTCTCTCTTGGGCTTATCTTGCCCCATGGCGTAAAGGAGGCTTCACATGGCTGACTCCCTCTGCTCCATGTTGGACCTGACAGTCTCCTGGCCTTGGATGCTCCACTCTTACTGCAACTGACCCACACTAACTGAGCTCTCCTCTACCAATGCCTTCTCCATGCCCCCTTCAGCTAGTGGCTCCACTACTCCTCTCAGGCCTGGAATCTCTGCTTCATGCTTCCCTTTCTTGGCTTCTCTTCTCCTCTGTCATCCCATTGTTCTTTCTTTCCTTTGAAAGGCCTCCTAGTTCTGTGGTTACTCTTCATTTCTCATCAGTTCTCTAGGCCAAGCCTTCATGACTTCATGCCTAGATAATGACAAGAGCTTCACTCCTACTTTTTGAAAAACCCAGTTTCTCTAGATGCATAGAAACTCAAATATTTGGAACTAGAAGACTTTTAGGAGACCAACCACCTAGATTTCCAAAAAATGTGTCTCCAGAATCTGCCTTTCTCATTTAAGACTCAACTCAAGAGGTACTTCCTTCATGCCACTGACTCTGACTCCTTAGGGAATCTGTGCTTTGGGTAACATTCGTTCTGCTTGCTCAGCTGGGTGTAGGGACCAGGTGCTCTCGATTCCCACCCCCCACCCCCACAGCACCCAGCACAGGGCCGTGTACACAAAATTTGTTCAATAGATAACTATTAATTGATGAGTCAGTGAAGCAAACAATTGTATAAATTAAGAGGGTACCATAGGGACTGCAGCAATTAGGAAAGACTTCATGAAAAATCAAGATGTGTGGTGGGCTTCTGAGGATGAGCATTCTGATTAATTTTATTTATTTTGACCAGAAACAAAAATTAGATCTGCAAAAGGGTTTTTGCATTGCTTTTAGGTGGTCTGGGAGATCTGGGGAGACGTGGCCTTCTCACAATTGCTGACTCCCAGTTGTGTATCTACAGAAGGAGTCTTCCACTTGAACTCCAGATTTGTCTGTCCAGCTGCATGCTTGACAGTTCCATGTCACAGACATCCCAAATTCCTCATGTCCTGGACCATCACTGCCTTTCCCCTTTCCACCTGCTCCACCTGTGGTCTTTCTCATCTTAGCTAATGGTACCTCTATATTCCTGCTTGCCCAGGGCCTGAATCCCAGAGTCATCCTTGACTGGCCTTATGCACTTGACATCCAAATCAACAAAAAATCCTATCAGTTCTACCTTCAAAATATGTCCAGAATCTGACTTCTTACCCCTTTTATGGCTCTGCTCCCTTCTAACTTGCCTCCCTACTTTCCTTCTCACCAACGCTATTTTCTTTTTTTAATTATACTTTAAGTTCTGAAGTACATGTGCAGAACGTGCAGATTTATTACATAGTTATACGCGTGCCATGGTGGTTTGCTGCACCCATCAACCCCTCACCTACATTAGATATGGTAGGTGTTTCTCTGAATGCTATCCCTCCCCTAGCCCCCCACACCCCCGACAGGCCCCAGTGTGTGATGGTCCCCTCCCTGTGTCCATGTGTTCTCACTGTTCAACTCCCACTTATGAGTGAGAATATGTGGTGTTTGGTTTTCTGTTCTTGTGTTAGTTTGCTGAGAATGATGGTTTCCAGCTTCATCCATGTCCCTGCAAAGGACATGAACTCATCCTTTTTTATGGCTGCATAGTATTCCATGGTGTATATGTGCCACGTTTTCTTTATCCAGCCTATCATTGATGGGCATTTGGGTTGGTTCCAAGTCCTTGATACACCAACCCTATTGTCAACACAGCAGCCGAAGTGAATCTTGGTAAAACATAAGCCAGATCATGTTACTGCCTGACTCAAGACCCTGCAATGGCTCCCTGTTTCTATCAGAGAAAAACCAAAACCCTTACAAAGGCTGCACAATCTGG
Organism: Homo sapiens; assembly: GCF_000001405.40. NCBI lineage: Eukaryota > Metazoa > Chordata > Mammalia > Primates > Hominidae > Homo > Homo sapiens. Next base: position 31,899,580 of record NC_000011.10, read on the forward strand.
GGTCCCCAGAACCTCACTGACCTCATTTCTTACCACTCTTCTTTGGCTTATTCTCCTCCAGCCACACTGGGCATCTTCTTACTTTGCAAGGCTGCTTGGGCTTTGGAACTTTCTGCTCCCTCTGCCCGAACCCTTCCTTGCCCATGTATCTGCTAGGCTGATTCTCACATCCTTCAAGTCTTTGCTTACATGTAGGGCAATCATATGTCCCTGTTTGCCCAGGACAGTCCAAGTTCTCACCTGCTGTCCCAGCATAATTATGAATAGCTTCCCTTTGTCCTGTTAAATGTTTTTCAGTTTGGATGATAAATTATATGTTCACTCTACTCAAATGTCATATTTTCAATGACTCCTACCCACTTCACTTAAAGTTTACCCTCCAAACCAACCATTGACATTCCCAATTATCCTTACCCTATGCTATTTTTTCCATTGCAATGATCACCCCGTAACCTGTTATATAATTTGATTATCTGGTGAATTTATCAATTATTGTTCATCTCCGTCACTAGAATGTATACTCCACCAAGGGAGGAATTTTTGTCTATTTTGTTCACTGATAATATCCCTGTCACCTTTCTAGTGCATGGCAGGAGTTCAAAAGGTGTTTGATTAATGCAATCATTTTGGAAGACAAAGAAGTGTAATTCCTTAGATCTTCAAATAGTTTATCAGGAAAGCAAGGCTGAATATGTGAGTGATATCAGACTGACACAAAATCCAGGATGTGTGCTTGCTGTATCGACCTGCTTGAGAAGGATTTGGAAGTCATTTATTAAAATCAGCTTTCTATCTCGATGTGCTGTGTTAGGAGCCTCTTCAGAGCAGAACATGGGGGTGAAGAAGACAATTATACCGGGAATCCAAGACAACTGAAGTAAAACTTCATTCTGAACTTCCCAGAGCTCAGGCAAAAGGGAAAAAATCAGGTTGCATAGCTTCTGTCTCCTCTCCTTGTTGCCTGATTAAAAAAGAAAGGCATTTATTCAAAGAAGACATACAGCTCCAAGTTTTATGTTTCAAGAGGGAATCATCACGTTGGCTCTTTTTAATTGGTGGTATGGATTGCGCATGTTGATTTTTTAAAGTGGGAGTAACCACACACCTTAGTGTGCCCAGGATAGTCACAGTTTATACCTGCTGTCCCAAGGAAATTGTTAATATTCAACATGTCTTGGTTTGGATGATATATTATGAGGTCACACTGTAAGGGACATTGAAGGACATAAGAGATAATTACTTTTGCCTTTACAGAGGGAATGCAGACAGTTTCCTCATATGACCTTTGGAAAGCCCAAGGCTATGAGGATAAGCTATGTTCCCTTGAGAATCAAGACACTCTTTGAGCAGCACACAGTTTCATATTTGCTCAGGATCAACTCAAATTTGGGGAAGTTCCACCATCAAGAAGCTCCTGAAGCTCAAGCTGGCTCTTGATATTTGCTGCCAAGACCCTTGTTTACCAAACACTTCAATTACAGGGTCCCCCTTCTAGGTTCATTTGCTCATTGTGGGCCTTTGCAAGATGCTGGTGAGGTCAGAGTTTTCACTGGACGTGTTTGGGGTGCTGGAGAAGTTTCCTCATAGATTTATGAGTCTCTTTAATGTGGGCTGAACTGTACCTTCCCATCCACCAATAAGATTTTTTTTTAGACAATAATACAATTTAGACCCCCATATGCTATATTTACAAACTATAGATTTCTGATGAAAAATCAATTCCTTCATTCTACCATGTTCAGTTGGATAGTACCTAAAAACAACAAAAAGTCACCTGGGTAAACTCAAGTGATTTTCTAAGACTCTAGTCTAACAATTGTCTTGGTTTACAACACCTTATGCATTTTGACCTGGGAGGGGAAAGACCTGGTTCTTTGTCTTGGCCCTGCTGTTCCTTCACCTCTCTGAGCCTTTATCTCCTCATAAGAAGGAGAGGATATGGACTCTATTTCTATAGTACCTTGTAGTTTGATTGCTATATTTCTCCTGTAGAGCTGTTCATTCAGAACATCTCAGCACTGGTGACAGGAATCTTCAGAACACCTGGTCTTCTGGGCTGTAGACATCAGAAACTCTTCAGAGCTCAACCTGCAGGCCAGCCTCAGGCCTATGAGAAGGCAGAGAGAGTTGGACTACATCCTTGGTCCCTTCTCCTCACCTTATTACTTCTCTTTTTCATAGTTCAGGAGGTGTCTTAGTCCCTTTGGGCAGCTATAAAAAACTACCACAGACTGGGTATCTTATTAACAATGGAAAGTTATTTCTCACCATTCTGGAGGCTGGAAAGTCCAATATCAAGGCATCAGCAGATTCAGTGTCTGGCAAGGGCCTGCTTCCTGGTTCATAGAAAGTCTTCTTCTCACTGAGTCCTCACATGGCAGAAGGGGCAAGGGAGCTCTCCAGCGTCTCTCATGGAAGAACACTAATCCCATTCATGAGGGCTCCATCCTCATGACCTAATCACCTCCTAAAGACCCTACCTCCAAAAACCATCCCACTGGGGATTGGGTTTCAACATACGAATTTTGGAGGGACACAAATATTTGGCCTATAGCAGGAGGGTCCTTCAACAGTGACAAGGTATGTCAGAACTAGGGTCTTGGGTAGCCCCAAACCGCAAGAGTTCTTGTCTTCACTTCTCTTTCCCCATCCATTAGTAAGAATGGATATAGTATATCCATCACAAAAATGAATTACCTATTTGGAGCACTAACCATGTGCCATGCATGGTGCTGAGTATTTTGCCACATTTAATTGTCACAATGACCCCTGAGGCAGAATGATAGTTATTCCCATTTTGTAAGTGAGGTCCTGAGTCTCCGGGAGATGACTTGCCAAAGGCCACGTAGTTAAGATGTAGCAACCTAGCATTCTAACCCAGACCTGTGTGTCTCTGAAGTGTACATGTGTAAAGCAATGTAAGCTGCTGAATTACATCTGCTGTCTTCAAAATGGCAGCCATTAATCTGATCCATTAAGCATGGGCCAATAGGAGAAACCATTACTCTGCCATTGCCTCTAATCTAACATGACCAGTGAGGTAATTTCAGGTTAGCTTGAAGTGGGGAGAAAGAGGAGATGTCCTTCAGAGCTGTACTGCTCAGAGGGCTCTAAGGTCACACCAACTGAAGCCAGAGGCACTAGGCCTGTGAGGAAGAAGGATCCAACTCCTTCGTCCCTTAGAGTGGGCCAGGGCTGAACTGTGAAGGCGGGTCTGACACCCTCTCTTCTCACGTCAGCTTCCAGGTTACCTCCAATTTGAAAGCCACTGAAGTGGATGCAAAAGGCAACAGAGCCTGAGGCCTTGGCATCTCTGCCCATCCTGCAAAGGTCAGCACAGTCTTATCTAGAACACAGCTGAGGAGGCAATTTCCTTGAATACTCGGGGCTGGGAGACACTTTCTCCCTCTTCCCCCTTTTGTGTTTCTCCTGCATTTCCACAAGGCTCCAGGACCCTGTGCTGGTGAAGTCTTTGAAGAAAGAGGGGGACACGGCTTGGGGGAACCAGCAGGGGAAGAGGGCAGGAGGAGGGAGGGCTATGTCTGGTCTGGTCTGGTCTGGTCTCCCTTTCCACTCCCACATCACACGCCTTCACCTGGAAGCTTCCTAACCTGAAGTACAAATGAGACCCCCTGGGATCCCAAAATAGCTCCCCTCACAGCTGCACAGCATCCATTTATAGCTGTGCCTCCCTACAGCCCCAGGCTGCCTCTGAGACGCACTTCTGAGGTCAGCGCCTGTGAACACCAGGCTCAATGTCGTTGGAGAACAGAAGTGCTCATAAGGAACCTATTATGGTCTTGTGACTGTTTTTCAGGACTCGCCCCAACCCTCAGAGACTTTAAAGGGCCAAATTTGTTTTGACCTACAGCCAGACCACTTTTTGTCCAACAATAACCCAGAAGCGGGTCAGATTCCATCCCCTGTGCCCAGCAGCAGGTGAGGACGTTGCACTTGGTGGCAGCAGGACAAACAGTACTGAAGTTATGCCTGGGCCTCAGGCCAAGTAGCTCGGACACCTCCAGGGAAGATCGACCATCGGGCTTTATGTATGTACGTGTTCTTTTATTAGCAATAAAACTTGGGCTATTAATTGACTTTCTTCACTCATGTTATTCATATTGATTCTGAATGCCAAATTATAAAGCAAAGAGAAAGAGCCCTAACCCCACCAAGCTGTGTTCCGTACTTCCTCTTCATACTCCATCTAAAACAAATTAGCTTTGACCCACTATCTCTCACATGGCTTATTTAGAGACGGCCCAAAATAGTCCATGAACTAAGTATACTTTGCTTTTTCACTGTCAATCCTAAGTAGAGCCACGAGGGCAGGAGTGACCCTGGCTGGCCTCTCGAGTTGTAGTGAGCCTCCTACTTTCTGCAACAGCCATCAGCACTTGTCTTCATGAAATATTTTTTGTTGAAGTGAACTCAGGCCTCATCTGGAGCTTGTCCTGGGCAATTCTCTGAAGTCAGGGTCTTTCTTTCTAAAGTTGCTGAGCAAGAGCAAGTCTTGGTGGACCTACCATATCAGAGTGGAGGCCTGACATGAGCTAACAAAAACTTAGGCCATTGATTACACACAGTTGCAAGCTAAGGCATCAGAGGCCCTCCAACAGGGGGCCAAGAACTTATGTCCTGCGGCCACACAGCTTGCATTTCTGCTACATTTCCATTAAATGCTAGGTGTGTGGCTCTCAAATAAGCTACTTCTATTCCTGCATGCCTGTGCTCCTGTCTGTGGAGGAGGTATGGTGACAGTTTGTTGACATGAGATCTTCCCGTATGGCATATGATACATATAAATCACTTGGATTAACCATCATTACTATTTTGAAAGGGAAACAAACCATATCACATATGATCTTTGTTGTATCTTATTTTTGAGCCAATGCTTTAAAAAAAAATAAACATATGCTACCAGTTTTCGTAAGGTAAACGATAATACGGCCTTCTCTCCTTCTTATTATACTGAGTCTCATTCATCTCTCAGAATCCTTTTCATTATCATTGTCACTAAAAGCATTCGGGGTTGGATCAGTGAATATTGCCTAAAAAAAAAAAAGAAGAAGAAAAATCAAAAGCCAACTAATTCAGATACATATAAAACAAAACTTTCTTTTTCTGTAAGCAAACTTAAACATTTTTTTGGTACTTTGAGCTCTCACCCTTGGTAAACAGAAGAATCATAGTCATAGCCAATCTAGGGCCTTTCCTTTCAAAGCAGGAATTGGGCTTTTATTCTGGGGTGGGGAGTGGAGGAGGGGAAATCGGTTTGGAAATTGGGACCTCTGGTCTTCAGCCACCATCCTGCAGCCTCTCTTGCATCCACTCTGAAGTTTCTGTTTCCTCTGGGATTTGAATGTTTGTCCATGGGGGTCACTTTTGCACTTCAAGGCTCTCCTGGTTTGGCTTTTTCTCGGTGTCTTTCATGCCACACAGGCAGCAGGAGCCTTGGGGAGCTGTTTGAGGAGGTTCTGTATTATCTCTGTGCCAATCTTGGGCTTTCCTCCAACCCCACGACATTCTGCGACCTGTGGGAATTCTACAAGAAGGCAGTCTCGGACCTGCTTGTCTAGACATGACCTGCAGCTACCCCAGCCGCTACCATACCTGCACATGATTTGGTGCAAGGAAACACTGAAGCATGGAATTTTCCTGGGCTCTACTCAGGAACAGGCACAGTCCCTCCCTTGTCACATGCCTTAACGTTGGATCAAGGCACAGTGCACTTCTTTGGGTACCGGTTGGCATCTACTCTCACTATTTCTTCTTCTGTTATTCTTTCTCCCCTAGCTTATGACATCTTTCACCTAGGGACAAGAAAAACTGATCATGGGTATTTCTTGTTTTCTTCGAAATAGACTTTAATTTTTGGAAAAGTTTTAGGTTTATAGCCAAATTGAACAGAAAGTACAGGGATGTTCCATATCTCCCCTGCCCTCACACATGCATAGCCTCTGCCACTATCAACGTCCTGCACCAGAGTGCTACGTTTGTTACAACTGATGACCCTGCACTGATGTGTCATTATCACCCAAAGTCTACAGATCACATTATGGTTCACCCTCGGTATTGTACATTCTATGGGTTTTGACAAATGCATAATTACATGCATCCATCATTATAGTATCATACGGAATAGTTTTACTGGCCTAAGAATCCTCTGTGCTCTGCCTACTCATTCTTCCTCCTTGCCAACCCTTGATTCTTTCACTATTTCCATAGTTTTGCCTTTTCCAGAATGTCATATAATTGGAATCATACAGGACGTGGCTGTTTCAGATTTGCTTCTTTTACTTAGTAATATGCATTTAAGTTTTCTCCATGTCTTTTCATGGCTTGATAGCTCATTTCTTGTTAGTGCTGAATAATATTCCATTGTCTGGATGTACCAGTTTATTTATCCATTCACCCACTGAAGGACATCTTGATTGCTTTCAAGTGCTGAGAATTTATGAATAAAACTTCTATAATTTTCTGTGCATGGTGGCTCACGCCTGTAATCCCAGCAATTTGGGAGGCCAAGGTGAGCATATCACCTGAGGTCAGGAGTTCGAGGCCAGCCTGGCCAACATGGTGAAACCCTGTCTCTACTAAAAATACAAAACTTAGCCAGGGGTGGTGGTGTGCACCTATGGTCCCAGCTACTCGGGAGGCTGAGGCAGGAGAATCACTTGAACCCGGGAGGCGGAGGTTGCAGTGAGCTGAGATCGTGCCATTGCACTCCAGCCTGGGCAATAGAGCAAGACTCTGTCTCAAAAAACAAACCAACAAACTTCTATAATCATCCATGTGCAGACTTTTGTCTTCAACTTTTGGGGGTAAGTAGCAAGGAGCAAGTATCTTAGTTCATTTCATGTTGCTATAACCGATTACCACAGGCTGGGTAATTTATAATAAGTAGACATTTCTTTGGGTCATGGTTCTGGAGGCTGGGAAGTCCAAGGCCATCTACTGGGCGTCAGATGAAGGCTTTCTAGCTGCATCACCCCATGGTGGAAGGCAAGAGGGCAAGGGAGAGACAGAAAGAGAAGGGAGAGGGGGAAGGTTGCTGAACTTAACCTTTTATCAGGAAACTACTCCCATGATAACAGCATTAATGCCTTCATGATGGTCACCTTCTCTCTTTGTCCTCACATGGCCTTCCTCCCTTCCCCTCTGTCTCTCTCTGTCTTTCTCTCTCCTTCCTTCATTCCTTCCACCACTGCAAACCATCACCCCTGGCTAATTTTTGCATTTTCAGTAGAGACAGGGCTTCACCATGTTGGCCAGGCAGGTCTCAAATTCCTGACCTCAGGTGATTTTTTCTCTTTCTTTCTTCCTTCTTTTCTTTTCTTTTCTTTCTTTCTTTCTTTTCCTTTCATCTCATTCTGCTGCCCAGGCTGGAGAGTGGTGGTGCAAACACACTCGCTGCATCTCAACCTCAAGCTATCCTCCCACCTCAGCCCCTGGAGTAGCTGGAACTATAGGGATGCACCACCACACCTGGCTATTTATTTATTTATTGGGCATGTGTGCGTGTGTGTGTGTGTGTGTGTGTGTGTGTGTGTGTGTGTGTGTGTGTAGAGATGGGGTCTCATGTTGCTCAGGCTGGTCTTGAAACCCTGGGCTAAAACGATCCAACCACCTCAGCTTCCCAAAGTGCTGGGATTACAGGTGTGAGCCACCATGCCTGGCCCACCTGGCCTTTCTTAGATGAATGTGCATGGAGAGAGATAGAGAATGGGATGGGCAGGGGATTGCTTTCTCTTCTTAGGAAACCAGCAATCTGGCCAGGCACAGTGGTTCACGCCTATAATTTCAGCACTTTGGGAAGCTGAGGCAGGTGGATCACCTGAGGTCAGGAGTTGGAGACGAACCTGGCCAACATGGTGAAACCCCATCTCTACTAAAAATACAAAAATTAGCCAGGCGTGGTGGCATGCACCTGTGGTCCCAGCTACTCGGGAGGCTGAGGCAGGAGAACCACTTGAACCCAGGAGGTGGAGACTGCAGTAAAAAAGAAGACCAGCAATCCTCTCAGATTAGGACCCCATCTTTATGATCTCACTTAACCTTAATTACCTCCTAAAAATCCTGTCTCCTAATACAGTCACATTGGGGCTTAAGGCTTCAACATATGAATATTGGGGACACAGAATTCAGTTTGTAGTAAATGTCTTTTAAGTGTCTTTCAATCTATAGATCTTCCCACTCTTTCTCATTTGTCCCCTCCTTCATTAATTTTGCTGGTAGAGTTTCCCACAGTTTGGATTTTGCTGTTTGCAGCTCTGTGGTGTTGTTTTAACATATTCCTCTATGCTGTATGTAAATGGATAGTCAGATGAAGAGGAAAGGTTAGATTGGCAGAACTATTTCCTAGGCAGAGCGGTAGGTTTCTATCAGGAGGCACTATTCCCTAGGAGTCTCTGTTTCTGTGAAGTTAGCAGCCATTGGTGATTATTGCCAAATCCATTATTCTATTAGAGGTTACAAAATGGTGATTTTATAATTTTATTATTCCTTATTTATTAACCAAAATAATTCAATAAAATGAAACTCCTCCTTATCAACTATTTGGTTATGCTGAGATCTAGTGCAAATAGAAAAGACAGACTTCAGAGAATACTATAAACACCTCTATGCAAATAAACTAGAAAATCTAGAAGAAATTGATAAATTCCTCGACACATACACCCTCCCAAGACTAAACCAGGAAGAAGTTGAATCTCTGAATAGACAAATAACAGGCTCTGAAATTAAGGCAATAATTATTAGCTTACCAACCAAACAAAGTCCAGGACCAGATGGATTCACAGCCGAATTCTACCAGAAGTACAAGGAGGAGCTGCTACCATTCCTTCTGAAACTATTCCAATCAATAGAAAAAGAGGGAATCCTCCCTAACTCATTTTATGAGGCCAGCATCATTCTGATACCAAAGCCTGGCAGAGACACAACAAAAAAAGAGAATTTTAGACCAATATCCCCGATGAACATCGATGCAAAAATCCTCAATAAAATACTGGCAAACCGAATCCAGCAGCACATCAAAAAGCTTATCCACCATGATCAAGTGGGCTTCATCCCTGGGATACAAGGCTGGTTCGACATACACAAATCAATCAAGTAATCCAGCATATAAACAGAACCAATGGCAAAAACCACATGATTATCTCAATAGATGCAGAAAAGGCCTTTGACAAAATTCAACAGCCCTTCATGCTAAAAACTCTCAATATATTAGGTATTGATGGGACGTATCTCAAAATAATAACTGTCTATGACAAACCCACAACCAATATCATACTGAATGGGCAAAAACTGGAAGCATTCCCTTTGAAAACTGGCACAAGACAGGGATGCCCTCTCTCACCACTCCTATTCAACATAGTGTTGGAAGTTCTGGCCAGGGAAATCAGGCAGGAGAAGGAAATAAAGGGCATTCGATTAAGAAAAGAGGAAGTCCAATTGTCCCTGTTTGCAGATGACATGATTGTATATCTAGAAAACCCCATCGTCTCAGCCCAAAATCTCCTTAAGCTGATAGACAACTTCAGCAAAGTCTCAGGATACAAAATCAATGTGCAAAAATCACAAGCATTCTTACACACCATTAACAGACAAACAGAGAGCCAAGTCATGAGTGAACTCCCATTCACAATTGCTTTAAAGAGAATAAAATACCTAGGAATCCAACTTACAAGGGATGTGAAGGACCTCTTCAAGGAGAGCTACAAACCGCTGTTCAGTGAAATAAAAGGGGATACAAACAAACGGAAGAATATTCCATGCTCATGGGTAGGAAGAATCAATATCATGAAAATGGCCATACTGCCCAAGGTAATTTATAGATTCAATGCCATCCCCATCAAGCTACCAATGACTTTCTTCACAGAATTGGAAAAAACTACTTTAAAGTTCATGTGGGACTAAAAAAGAGCCCACATCGCCAAGTCAATCCTAAGCCAAAAGAACAAAGCTGGAGGCATCACACTACCTGACTTCAAACTATGCTACAAGGCTACAGTAACCAAAACAGCATGGTACTGGTACCAAAACAGAGATATAGACCAATGGAACAGAACAGAGCCCTCAGAAATAATACCATACATCTACAACCATCTGATCTTTGACAAACCTGAGAAAAACAAGCAATGGGGAAAGGATTCCCTATTTAATAAATGGTGCTGGGAAAACTGGCTAGCCATATGTAGAAAGCTGAAACTGGATCCCTTCCTTACATCTTACACAAAAATTAATTCAAGATGGATTAAAGACTTAAATGTTAGACCTAAAACCATAAAAACCCTAGAAGAAAACCTAGGCAATACCATTCAGGACATAGGCATGGGCAAGGACTTCATGTCTAAAACACCAAAAGCAATGGCAACAAAAGCCAAAATTGACAAATGGGATCTAATTAAACTAAAGAACTTCTGCACAGCAAAAGAAACTACCATCAGAGTGAACAGATAACCTACAGAACGGGAGAAAATTTTTGCAATCTACTCATCTGACAAAGGGCTAATATCCAGAATCTACAATGAACTCAAACAAATTTACAAGAAAAAAACAAACAACCCCATCAAAAAGTGGGTGAAGGAGATGAACAGACACTTCTCAAAAGAAGACATTTATGCAGCCAAAAGACACATGAAAAAATGCTCATCATCACTGGTCATCAGAGAAATGCAAATCAAAACCACAATGAGATACCATCTCACACCAGTTAGAATGGCGATCATTAAAAAGTCAGGAAACAACAGGTGCTGGAGAGGATGTGGAGAAATAGGAACACTTTTACACTGTTGGTGGGACTGTAAACTACTTCAACCATTGTGGAACCAGTGTGGCGATTCCTCAAGGATCTAGAACTAGAAATACCATTTGACCCAGCCATCCCATTACTGGGTATATACCCAAAGGATTATAAAACATGCCGCTATAAAGACACATGCACATGTATGTTTATTGTGGCACTATTCACAATAGCAAAGACTTGGAACTAACCGAAATGTCCAACAATGATAGACTGGATTAAGAAAATGTGGCACATATACATCATGGAATACTATGCAGCCATAAAAAATGATGAGTTCATGTCCTTTGTAGGGACATGGATGAAGCTGGAAACCATCATTCTCAGCAAACTATCGCAAGGACAAAAAACCAAACACTGCATGTTCTCACTTATAGGTGGGAATTGAACAATGAGAACACATGGACACAGGAAGGGGAACATCACACACCGGGGCCTGTTGTGGGGTGGGGGGAGGGGGGAGGGATAGCATTAGGAGATATACCTAATGTTAAATGACGAGTTAATGGGTGCAGCACACCAAAATGGCACATGTATACATATGTAACAAACCTGCGCGTTGTGCACATGTACCCTAAAACTTAAAGTATAATAGAAAAAAAATAGAAAAGGTAGAAGAGACCACGCATGATGGCTCACACTTGTTCTCCCAGCACTTTGGGAGGCCAAGGCAGCTGGATCACCTGAGCCCAGGAGTTTGAGACTAGCCTGAGGAACATGGTGAAATCCTATCTCTACAAAAAGTTTAAAAATTAACTGAGCATAGTGGCTCATGACTGTAGTTACAGCTACTTTGGAGGCTGAAGTGGATAGATCACTTAAGCCTGGGCAGTTGAGGCTGCAGTGAGCCATGATTTTGCCTGTGCCACAGCACTCCAGCTTGGGTGAGAGACCTGTTTCAAAAAGGAAAGGAAAGGAAAGGAAAGGAAAGGAAAGGAAAGGAAAGGAAAGGAAAGGAAAGGAAAGGAAAGGAAAGGAAAGGAAAGGAAAGGAAAGGAAAGGAAAGGAAAGGAAAGGAAAGGAAAGGAAAGGAACAATATTTGATTGCTTGATTCTTACCTTTTAAAAATAATCTAGTTTCCAAATAATTATTACCTAGCATCCTCCAAAGTTAACTTTTAAAAAAGGATAACTGAAAACTCATGAATTTAAACACATTTGAAGTGTCAACATCCATTAAGGTTATTTTTATGGAACCTCATATTGTCCTATCTTTGGCCAATGAGATCTTCTTTTAAGTTGGCCCCTGAGTCTTCTTGACATGACCCCAGTAACCTGTGATACTGTAGTTGCTCTTTGGTTTGATGAAATATTTCCAAGCCCTTTTATAATATGTTTCCTGTCTTTGCCCTGGAATCAGCCATTTCTCTAAGGATTCCTGGTTCTTTTCATTTGGAAATAGTGATTCAAAACCACAGCTTTGGCACTACGGGAGGGCATTGGATTGGTTATTATCTCCAGATCTTTTTGGTGGAAAATGTAGGGATAAAGAGAAATACAACATAAATTGATATTGATAAACATCATTTCAAATTTGAGACTAAGGGTTTCTATTTAACTGCATCTATCTTGCTTCTCTTTCTTCTTTGTACGCCAGATTCTGGTTCCCAAGGACACAAACTTACTCATTTCTTTTAATCTATAATACATATTAGAACACCCGTGTTAGACTACCAACTCCACCATCAATGATATAATGACAGAAAATTGTTTAGGGTTTTTTTTTCCCTTCAGTTCTTTTTGCTTTTGGGTGATATCCCATGAGGGATGTTTTAAGACCCTAAATCAGATTTTTGCTAATTAAAAGCTCTGGCTTTTGAAACACCAAAGCCAAGAATTAGACTCTTGTTCTCCTGTCTGGAGGAGCCCTACCTTAGAAAATGCAGTGGATGCTGGGGGAGGAGATAACAGTGAACATGTATGGAATCAGTGTGTGAATTCTAAGTGATGGAGGTTGTGGGCAAAATTACCTCTCAATTTTTCACTTAGAAATCTCTGAACATCTAGTTTATCACTTGGTCAATACTAGACGTTTGATACATATGTAAATTAATTAGACTTACCCACTAATGGCTCTAGCCTGGACATATAAACTGAGAGCAATTTCTGCAGATAGCGATGCCAGAGTAGATGTTTCTCTGGATCCTAGCTGCCTTGGGTTTCCAGGTAGAATATTTCCTGTTGGGAGCTGTGGTGCCTGGTGCTCAGAACTTGGTGAGGCCCTTAGGAAGCTCAAGTCACCACAAGGTAAAGTGCATCCCTCTTGAGTCACCTGCTTTTGACTTTTTATATAACCCGATTCAAAGTTTTCACCTTTGTTAAGGGTAGGACTTAACAGTTTATTAATCAGTAATTATTTCATAGTAACTGTGTTAGCACAAACATAATAGTTATACCAACATAAATGTATTACGTATATAAATATATGTTACTTATCATTTTCTCTTAAGTCACTAAGCATGAGTTGCATCATCTAAAGAGTTATTCAGGGCATGGGTGAGTTCTGACTGGTTCCACAAGTGCAAGATCTGATTGGTCAAAAGTTTGCCAGAGACATCCCTACACAAGTCTTTTTATGTGGGTGTTTTAAATTTTACAGAGTGCATAATAGCTTTTATTTGTTCTAAGCAAATATCTGACAAGGTCCCAATCCATTGATTTTGCAGATGAAATGTTTCAAAATGCAATTGCCTTTTCCTAAAAGCCAGCTTGAAACCCACACATGTTTATATTGCATGTTGTGTTCAAAGTGCACCTGAATGAGTGGAGTGGGTTCTGCCTGATCTTGTTGGGTAGGAAAGATGTTCCACGGTACTTGAACATGGGAGACCCTAGATGGCACTTCAGTTTTCCCTCCTGCAGGTAGCATCAGCACTAGGCACTGTAGTGGGGGAGAAATGGTCTGAGATGCACAGGGCCTGGGTACCAGTTTTGGCTGTCCTACTGAAGAGCCACATCCCCTTGGGAAAGTGTCTAATCATTTGTTTCTCACTTCCTTAACTTTTATTTTAGGTTTGGGGGTACATGTGAAGATTTGTTACAAAGTAGGACTCGTGTCATGGGGGTTTGTTGTACAGATTATTTCATCACCAAGGTATTAAGCCCTTCACCCAATAGTTATCTTTTCTGCTCCTCTCCCTCCTCCCACCCTCCACCCTCAAGGGTATCCCAGTGTCTGTTGTTCCCTTCTTTGTGTCCATGAGTTCTCATCCTTTAGTTCCCACTTATAAGCGAGAACATATGGTATTTGGTTTTCTGTTCCTTTGTTAGTTTGCTAAGGATAATAGCCTCCAGCTACTTCCATGTTCCTGCAAAAGACATGATCTCCTTCTTTTTTTATGGCTGCATAGTATTCTATGGTGTATATGTATACATTTTCTTTATCTAATTTGTCATTGATGGACATTCATGTTGATCCCATATCTTTACTACTGTGAGTAGTGCAGCAGTGAACATTTGCATGAATGTGTCTTTATGGTAGAATGATTTACATTCCCTTGGGTATATACCCAGTAATGGGATTGCTGGGTCAAATGGTCATTCTGCTTTTAGCTCTTTGAGGAATTGCCATACTGCTTTCCACAATGGTTGAATTAATTTACAGTCCTACTAACAGTGTATAAGCATTCCCTTTCCTCCACAACCCCACCAGCATCTGTTATTTTTTGACTTTTTAGTAATAGCCATCTGATTGATGTGAGATGGTATCTCATTGTGGTTTGGATTTGCATTTCTCCAATCATCTCACTTCCTTACTTCTATCAGGGTTGCCTGTCCACTGCATCTTACCAGGTTGTGGTTAGGGTCACATGAGACCTTGTACAAGCATGAAAGCCTTGGTAAGCTATAGAGAGTCACATGCATGTTTTCTGGTACATGCTGCTTGTTGAGTGTCTTCATAGTAACCAGCTTTATGAACAGCAGAGGAAGAGAAGACATTTCCCTTGAGGAACAAGCAGAATCCACCATCCTGTAGAGGCCCAGAATAGCACTGCCGTTTTCACTTTTTAGTATGGTGCATTTGCTTTTCCTCAGTTGTGCTGCGGTAACGAACAGCCCTGCAGCTCAGTGGCTCTTGAAAAAAGGTCTATTCCTTGTGTTCCATCACATTTCAGCGGTGGGTGAGCTGCAGCTCTGCTCCATGTGTCTTCCCTCTGGGATCCAGGTTGAAGAGGCTGTTGATACACACGTCATGAAGCTTTCCTGGCAGAGAAAGGAGCAAAGATAGAACTACCTGTTGGCTCTTACAACTTCTGTTTGAGTGTGACATATGTTACTGCCACTCACATGCCATTGACCAAACCAAGTCACAGAGGCACGCTTGATGTCACCTGGGTGGGAAGTACAATCTTCTCATGAAGAGGGACAGCAAATATGCAAGAACAATAGTAGAATCTCCCATGGCAAGGAAGGTCACTTAACATCGTGGTCCTCAGCCACCAGAACCAAATATCATACCAGTGAGATGCTTTTAAGCTTCACCTGGTAGATCATCAAGCTGGTTGCTTTCGCCACAGCTCTCCCTGAAGTCATTAGAGAATTGAAGACTTGATTGCCACACTGGGTCCTTGCTCAGTTAGGATAAGGAAATAAACCAAAAAGACTCAGAGCCTTGGGGTTGGGCTCTGGAAGAAATGATTAAAAGTCCTAGTGGAGAGGAATGTGCACTGACTACTCTCAGAGCACAAAGATGATTTTTAGGGAACAGAAACAGGTAAGCAATCAGATGGGGAAATAAAGGAAAGAAAAGTGAGTTAGAAATGGGATTCCTTGGAAAAAAGGCCACTGGTTTAAAGAGACAGTAGGTCAAGGACCACCCTAATTCACATGAGGACTAATTACAGAGGAAAGGAAGTTGCTTGGCCACCAGATTTGGGAGTGATGGTTCTGGCTGGTGTGGTCTTGCCAGCATCTTTGGTGGTGTTTAAGAGCAACACAGGCATGGTTTTGATGACATCAGATAACCTTCCATTTGAATGGATTTCTTTCATTTGGGAACAGCAACATGTTCGTGTAAAGATATGAATAGAGATAAAGGAAGAGGCACAGGCAGCAAATGAGGTGGGGCGAGTTGGCGGTGAGAGAGCATTTTACAATTTATCCAGCTGTAAGCACCCACCATAATGCCTCCCCAAACCTCCAAAGTCTTACTTCCTCCTCGAGAGATCCCTCTGTCCTCAACAAGATGAACAGAACAATGTCCTCATACTCTTTTGGTTGAACAATTCTGTGACAGAGCAGGGGATTTGGGGCTGACGACATTTAGGGAGCAGACCCTGGCTGCCCCAACAATACAGCCCTTGGGTGTGTTTTTCTTACTGAGTTGTTTGAATGTTCAGGTCAAGGGGCCAGAGCCTTTTGGTACATTCCCTGTGCTGCAAGTTGAAGCTCTGGCATGAGCTCATCATGGGGTTTTTTGGAATCATGGGCCAAGATGGAATGTCTCAGAGCAACGAGGGACCTTACAGGTCAGGAGCCCAGTGGATAAAGCTGCTGGCTCAGGTTTACATGAGAAATCTGTGTTGGAACTGTGACGGGACCAATGTCTCCTGGCTTCCAGGCCACAGAATCCTGTACATGCCATGCCAGCTCCCATTCACAAACTTGAAAAATTATTTCCCCAAATACAATTCAGATACTTTTGATAATAACAGACTTGGGATAGTGGCTCCCCCTGAAGGCCTTTTCCAGACACCATCTCAAATGATGGCTCTCTTGACACAAACTCTTGGGCTTGACTGAGCTTCCTCCTTCATTGGTGAGAGCCCAGTGCTACAGGCTGTTCCTCTACAAGAGGATTAGGAGGGAGCTAAGTACCTGTCCATGGGGCCAGAGGTGTCAAGGAGGTAGTCACCTGAGGCCTGGGTGCAAGGCCAATGTCAAAGAGCTAGGGCAGAATCTTGGGAGAATAACAGCTCAGGAGACAAGGCAAGGTCTTACCTTAATTTCTTTTGCTGTCTTAGAGCCACCCTTGTAATCAAAGCAAATACTCCAAGGCTGGGAGACGCCATAGCTCTGTCCTTCTCACCCTTCTTTCCGGAAATAGTTGCAATCAAGAGCTGGGGCTTTCTATTTAGACTAGCTGGCTTCCAATTCCAGCTCCACTGTTTACTATCTCTTTACCTTTGTGCTTCTTATATAAACCCCCTAAGCCTCAGTACTATTGTCTGTAGAATGGGGTAACAGTAGTACCTACCTCATAAGACTGTTCTGAGAATTAAATAAGAGAAGGCACCTACAGTATATAGAGCAATGTCTGGAAAAGTGCCCAGTGATGGTTTCCTATTACTATTAATATTGTTATTATTATTATTATTATTATTATTTTGAGACAGACTCTTGCTCTGTTGCCTAGGCTAGAGTGCAATGGCGCCATCTCAGGTCACTGGAACCTCTGCCTCCTGGGGTCAAGCGATTCTCCTGCCTCAGCCTCCTGAGTAGCTGGGATTACAGGCATGCACCACCAAGCCCCACTAATTTTTGTATTTTCAGTAGAGATGGGGTTTCGCCATGTTGGCCAGGCTGATTTTGAACTCCTGACCTCAGGTGATCCACCCGCCTCGGTCTCCCAAAGTGCTGGGATTACAGGCATGAGCCACCATGCCCAGCCTATTATTTTTAAATGATGCTATTTTTCACATACTGGATACTTAGTTACAAAAAAGTCATATGCATACTCTGCCCTTGTGGAGATCTGATCTAGCAAATGAGCATTTTGCCTTCTCATTGGTCCTCCATGCTTTTTGGAAATTCAGGATGCTAATGCTGGGAGATCCTTTAGGGATCAAAGGTCAGCCCTCTCATTTTATGGCTGAAGTCATTGAGGCACAAGGAGGAAAAGGGATTCAACCAAGGTCTTGAACTCAAGCGTTAGATGCTGTATTTCTTTCATTCATCTCTATTATTGTCATTAATTAATTTTGATATTCTTTCTAATATGTTTTTTAACTTTTAGGGAACTTATATTTGTCAGCTTTGCAAGTGGGGCTCAGTTTCGGGGAAGGGGTGAGAGAGAAGAAAGGAAGAAACTGATGAAGAGAATGAAAGAGGAAAAGACCTGCCTGACACCTGGATCTTAGAAACAAACCTTTCCTAACAACAGACCTCCAAGCATAAAGAGAGTATTTTCAAACAACTCAAAAAATCAGTCTAAATCAACGATATTCAAAAGGACAAAGAAAAAAATAATAGGGGATTATGTTCTTTTCTCATCTGTCTTATGTTCTGAAGTTATTCATTTGACACCTTCTGCTCTTGTACGATGGCAGGCCTGTATTCCCAAAGATGCCCATTCCAGCCATCTATTGCTGTGTAACAAATGACGACAATGTATGATGGTTTAAAATCACAACTATTTTATTTCATCTCTCAATATTGTGGGTCAGAGTTCAGGCTTGGTGAAGTGATTCATCTGCTCCATATGGCTTGAACAGTGGTCTCAGAGTGGTATTCTGCTGGTGAGTTGGCTGGTTTCAAGGGTCTAAGTGAAGTTTAGAGGCTTCACTCACATGTCTGCACCTTGGCAGGGATGGCTTCAAAGATGGGGTCCACTGGGACTGGCGACTGGAGCCCACACCTGGCCTCTCCACTCAGACTTCTGACAGTAAGCAAGGCAGAATCACATGACTTTTTATGACCTAGCTTCAGAAGTCACAAAGCATCATTTTGGTCATACCCCATTGGTCAAAACAGTCACAAGCCTGCCTAGACTGAAGAGGCAGGGGATGGACGCTAGCTTTTAATGGAGGGAGTGTCAAAGAAGTCATACTTCCATGGCTCCGAAGTTGGGCTCCAATGTGGAATGTGTTTACCTTTTTCCTTCTGAATGGGCCCCATGAGCAGCCATAACTGTGAAGACAGATACAATGGCAGGGACCATGGCGCCTTCATTTCCTAAGGTCCATGGTAATTTTCTGCAAACCAATACTTCTCCTCAATAAACACATTATAGAATAACTCCTTCTAATTTGGGTCCAGTCTTGTTATAATTGTAATATGCATGACATTTTGATATGACCATTCTGACATTCACATCTCTTTTATGACTCTGAAATTGAAAGTGTTTGGCTTAAAAAAATTTTTTTACCAACAAATGAACACTGAACTCTTTTCCCATTTCCTCAATCTTACACCATGGGAATGGAATAGATTCAGACATGTTCCTATCACTTTATTCAGGCAATAGTGTAGTTATTTTTGATAATTGGCTTTGTGTTAGGCACTGTGCCAACTGATTTTTATACACTATCTTGTTTATGCCTCTTAATAACCCTGTGATATGACTATTATGCCCATTTCCCGGATGAAGAAACAGAGGTTTGGAGAATTTAAGTAACTTTCTCAAAGTTCATCTAGTTAGTAAATGACTCACCCATTCATGCAACAAATACTTATTAAGTGCTTACTATGTGCCAGGCACTGACCTAGGAGCTGAGATTACAGCTGCAAACAAAGCAGACAAAAGCGCCTGCCCTCATGAAGCTTACATTCGAGGAGGGAGCAACGGAGACAGATAATAAGAAACAAACAACATGCATACGTAACACATCAGGTGATAAATGCTATGGAGAAAAACAAATGAGGAAAGATGGGTGGAGGCAGTGGGGGTGCAGGCAGATTGCTACTTTAAATCCAGTGGTCAGTTGGCATAGCAGCAAAAGCGACATCTGAGCAAACACCTGAAGGAGATGAGGGAGGGGGCTAGAAGGAAATCTGAGAAGAAGGAACAGTGTTAGAGTTCAGGAAAATGATTTGACCCCCCAGTCTGTGCCATGGTAAACCCATGCTTATAATCACTGGACTATAGTACAGTGCCATAGCCACTGGGTTGGGTCTGAGCTCAGTGCTGCTCATGTTTGACCACACATAGGATCGTGAAAAGGTCTTGTTAACTTGAGATTCCTGGGCTCACCTTCAGAGATTCTGGTGCTCTAGGTCCCCTATAGGGTCTGAAAGTGTGCATTTCTAACAAGCGCTCCGAAAATGCTGACACTGCTGGTTAAAGATCATTCTTTGAGAAGTGCTGTTAAAGAAACTCACTTAGTAAAGTAGGGCACGAAGAGCAAAGAAAGTCCTATGAGTTTCCAGGGATGCTTATGGATACTTTGGCTAACAGTAATTTCCATACCCACACAACTCCCCCCTAAAAAGGCCAAGTGTTCTCTATTCAACACACAGACACGTAAATGCACACACACACTGGATCAAATCCTCAACAAATCCTCAATTATCATTTAACCTAATGTTAATTTAGAAGTTAGGACCCTGAGTCAGAAAATCTGGCCCAGCTTATACCAGCTGTGCATCCTAGGCAAGTCACTTAACCTCTCTATGCCAAATATAGAGGTCTTTGTTTATTATGAAATTTGGGAGAAGGAGGCATTTGTAATTTGCAGTTATTCAATGAAAAGAAGTGAACTGCCATGCCCTCCCGACCCCATCCCTCTCCAGCAAAGCATTAGCCCATCCTATGAAGTGGGGAAGAGGCCAAGGGGATGAGGGAGAGGAAAGGGAATTGCAGGAAGTACACACAGGATACAAACCATGCGTGTAATTTTGTGAGCAACGATGCAACCTGACAGTTTTCAGCCTCTTCCCTGGGGCCAGCACCCCATCATGAGATGCTTTTCCTTTGCCACATTTCCTTGTCTTCTGGGTCCAGAGGAAAACGGTTTTTCCATTCTCACTATGGTGATTCACTAGCTGTACCTTCCCACCACACCTCCCAAGCCTAGATTTATAGCTCAAAGGGAAGATGTGAAGGCCGGATTTGTTCATAAATGGCAGGTGGTGATAGGAAGACTGTGTGGTCTGAGAGAGGGAGCATTGAACCAGACCAAGCCCATTCCTGTCTGAGGTCGGCCTGAGGGATTGTGGCCTTGGCAAGGCTTTCAACAAGTTCTTCTTCTGTAAAATGGGCAGAATTGCCACGGCTTCTACTTCCTCCTGGACACAGAAGTACCAAGAACAGCTAGAAGCTCAGGATCCTACTAATGTTGAATATGCCAAATACACAAATATCCAAATAGTGCTTATGGATAGCTGGGTACTGTTGGCAGTTACAGCCTCACTCACCTTTTCTGATATTAATAATAATTAAGGACGGTTGTTCAGCACCTACCCTTTGCCAGGCACTGTGCCTGGCCCTTTGCTTCCAGAATCTCTCCAGATCCCTGTGATTGCCCTGTGGGATGAGTAGAGTTATCATTCCTATTTTTCAGATAAGGACACTGAAGCTCAGAGACAGTAAATTACTTTCTCCCAAGGTCATACAGCTACTAATGGCCAGGTTGGGGTTTGAACTGGGAACTCTCTCCATAGTTTGTGCCCATATGCTATTGCCTGGTCTCCATGCACTAACTTGTTTGTTTCCTACAGCAACAAAGTTGGTTTCATAAATCTGTAAATTGATGCTGTAGTCTTAGAGATGGCTGTAGACCGGAAAACTGACATTGCCACACAATTTGGCTTAGAAACCCATCCATTTGATTATAACTTCTTTTGCTCTTTCCCTTATCCTTGCTTTTTTTTTTTTTTTGGCGGTGTCTTGCTTTGTTGCCCAGGCTGGAGTGCAGTGGTGCAATCATAGCTCACTGCAGCCTTGATTTCCTGGGCTCAAGTGATCCTCTCACCTCAGCCTCCAAGGAGCTGGGCCTACAGGCATATGCCACCATGCCCAGCTTATTTTTTAAAACCTTTTGTAGAGCTGGGTCTCACTATGTTGCCCTGGCTGGTCTCAAATTCCTGGGCTCAAGCAATCCTCCTGCCTTGGCCCACCAAAGTGCTAGGATTACAGATATAAGCCATCGTGTCTGGCCCTTGCGTTTTGATTTGGTTTTACTCTTCTCTCAGGAAAGATACAATCTGGCTTCCCAAATTCCTGAAATACTGACTCAACACAAATGCCTTCTGCTGTTTTCCCAAGGAGCTATTTGGTTGTGCTTTAACTTGCACCACAAATTGTTCCTCTCAGCATCTCCTTCCTTGAAGGAATGAGGTATGGCTAATGCTCTGGAGTCTCTTGATATTGAAAAGAAGAAACGAAAATAAACGCTGAGCTTTTAGACCCATAAGCCAATTGCTGAAGTCACTTCTCCCCAGCCTCAGCTTCAAATAGCGGAGGAAGGCTGCCTGCCTACCCCTTCCGAAAGGACAATCCAATTGTAAATATTATCTGCACTTCTAAGAACATTTGAATGGTAACACTCAAGCAATTACTTTACTTTCAAGATCATTAAACACAAATCTGACTTGTACTTTAATAGGGCTGCCAATGTTGTTAATGGTGGAGAGGGTGGCATAAAGGCTAAGTTTTTTCCTCTAATGGGTGAATGTTTACATTATTACCCTTTCTGAGGAGTGCTGTTGCTGAGAGAGGTTGCTCAATGCCCAGAGACATTTTTTTTCTTTCTCACACCCCAGAATCCAACCCCTCTTTTGCCAAATGCAATGTCAGAACAGGTAGGAGGTACAGCAATTGTGGCATGGGCCATGACAGTCCCCCAACTCCTTTCTCCTCTGGGTTGCTCACAGTCAGTCTCCCTCACCCAGCTCCTCTCCATGGACATGTCAGGGTCCCAGCAAAGAAAATGGACTTTGGAAGGAATGAACAATATTTTTACTTAGGAGGCTCCACTCTCATGCCTTGAATCTTAGCTCCCTGCTATTTTCCTCCTGTTTTAGAGAACGGGGGTTCTAAGAACGGTGCCAGAGGCAACTGTCTAGAGGCCTGCATCCTCTGCTCATATTCAGGGTGGAAGGGGCCAGCTTTGCAGGAGGGAGGCCTGTAGACTTTGCTCTCCTTTTTCCCCAGGCTACCTGGTCTCTTAGAGGCACCTGCAGTGCCACCTTGGAGGCTATGGAAAGACAACTGCTGTCATCGTAGAAATTGGACACTGGAGTCTGCAAAAAGCCTCCTGGAAGGGACACTCACTCGCTGGAGGTGCTGACTCCCAGGGGTTGGGGTGGTCCATTCCTTGTCCCCCAGCCCACAACACACACACTCAGGCCATTGCTCGTCCTTCACTGGTAGACCTCATAGCATGTCTCATGGCCCCTCCCTTGGCTTCCTATGAAAGTGACCTGGGTGGCTGCCTATGGAGTGAGATCTCAGGTTCACCTAGAAGCCACTCTGTCCCCAAAGAATTCTGTCTGGCAGTCGGGATCTGATAGTCCTTTGATAGGCAGGGTCTGGTGCCTTTCATTGCTCATTGAGAAACTGGACTGAAAATAGAAGTTTTGAATGTTGGGTGAGCAGAGCGTGCTGTCAGGGCAGTGTCTATACAGTGTGTTTCCCTTTTAACTTGTGGTTTAGTTTCAGGTATGATTAAGTTATACATTTCCAGAAAGCAAAGACGTTAGGGGCTCAGACTTTGGGATTACATTGCCCTAATTTTAATTGTCTTGGTGGTTTCTAGCTGTGTGACCTCAGGCAGTTTATTAAACTCTGTGGGCCTTATTTCTTCAAACATAAAATGGAGGTGGGGGGTAGGGGGTGCAGGGGTGAGAGTGGAGGGTTGGGGGGATTGGGGAGGTAGTGGGGAGACTACAGCTAATAATCCTTATTTCACAGGGTCGTTATGAGGGTTAGATAAATGTAAAGTCCTTGCATAAGCTGCTTCATGGGAAGTACTTAATGATCATTTCTCTGTTGTGAAATTTGCTTCCTTTGCCTGCTACAGACATTTCAAACACTACACATACAGCAATAACCAAGTAGAAAAGTCTCTCTGAGGTTGATGTGACTGATATCGGTCATTTTTTTATTTATTTTTTCCTTAGATTTATTTATATTTATTTATTTATTTATTTATTTATTTATTTATTTGAGACAGAGTCTCAATCTGTCACCTTGGCTGGAGTGCAGTTGCCCGATTGTGGCTCACCACAACCTCTGCCTCCTAGGCTCAAGCGATCCTCCCACCTCAGCCTCCTGTGTAGCTGGGACCACAGGTGTGCAACATCCCTGCCAGCTAATTTTTTGTATTTTTTGTAAAGACGGGGTCTCACCATGTTGCCCAGGCTGGCCTCAAACTCCTGGACTTAAGTGATCCTCCTGCCTCTGTCTCCCAAATTGCTGGGATTACAGGTGTGAGCCACCACACCCAGCTAGTCATTCTTAATATCAGCTTTTGATGGAAGAGGAGAGATGAAGAAAGGTTCAGAAAGGAGCCTCCAAACCTCAGCGACAGGCTCTGCTGCATTCACACTTCTGTCGAGAACCCGCAGCTTCTCCATTTTGTCCCAGGTAGGTGCAAGAGTGTGAGGGAGCAAATCCTCCCTAGTGCCTATTCTTCTCCGGGACAAATATTCATTTCACTTTTTTTTTTCTGTCCAGGTAATTCCACAAGAATTGCCATATTCATATCTATTCGATATTCTACTCTAGCAATGGGACCCATAACATGCCTTATATTCATTGGTCAGAAACAAAATGGCAGCCAAAATGATTTTCCAATGGGCTGAGAAGGATAGGAAAGTTGGCGTTTGGACGGAGACCTATGGTTGCTCTGGACCCTGAGTGAGAGTCATGATTCTGGAGCCATCTTTTGTGCCCAGATCAACTAATAACAGACATAGCCAAGCCCACTGATTTAATCAATGTGTCCCCCAGCTTCTCCTTCTCTGGCCAGCTCTGTTGATTTTTCTGAATTAATTCTTTTGAGTAAGGAAAAGATCAAACTCTGGGATCCCTTCAGTGCCTAAGTCTACTGGTTTATTCAAGAAGAGTGAGAGCTCTGGGATTTGGAATCTCACTTCTGTCCTAGAAGACCCGTTTGTGCCCCTGAAGAATAGAAGTACCTGAAAAGCATCATTTTGAGGAGTGTGCATTTAAGGTTTTTCCTTGAGTTTTCCTCACTAATGAGGTTAATAAGGAAATGATGCTTCCAACAATAGCTGTTACTGCTAAGCCCCTGTGGAGATAAAAGATCAGTGGTAAGATCTTTCAATGCCTTCTCATTTTAAACTCGTAGAATTGGTGTCTGGTACGTGCACATAATTCAGTTGTTTGAGGGATTTGCATCTGCACTACTCACTGGTCTTCCACATGCATTCACTAGGTTTTATGTCTGAAGGAGGCAGGCGTGACATTTCCAAGTCAAAGCCGGCTGACTTCTGTCAGGGAGCTGGTAGAGTTATTTTAAAAGTTTAGTAACATGCTTTTCTCTATAAAATAATATCTGCTAATAATAGAAAATTTAGACTCCATAAATAAGCAGAAAGAATAGTAGAAAATCACCCATCATCCTACCACCTAAAGATAGCCCATGTTAGCATTTGGAGATACTGTTTTCTATTTATTTATCTATTCATTAATTTTTAAAAACATAATATGATCACACAATACAAACAATTTTTTCCTGCTTTTTTTCAGTTAACATTATGGTGTAAACAGATTATTGAAAATTTTTAATAAATATAATTTTAGTAACTATATGACATTTGTAAAATTCATCCAACCATTTCTATATTATTGGACACTTTCTGATTTTTTGTTATTACAAGTAATGCTAGTTATGGCATCTATGAGTAGATGTTTTATTTACTATAATAAACATCTGTGAGTAGCTGTTTACTATAATAAACATCTGTGAGTAGATGTTTATTATAGTAGTAGCTTTAGTAGTTTATTATAGTAGTAGCTTTAGTAGTTTATTATAGTAGTAGCTTTTTCATTATGTGAGATTATTTCCTTAGGTCAGAGTTCCAGAATTGGAATTACTGGGTCAGAAGGGATAAATATTTGATAGCTCTTAATCTATAATGCAAAGTAGAAATTATTATGTTGGCAAAAGGGATGGATTTGATGGCTATGAAGGCCCCTTCTGGTGCTACTAGTCTGTGTTTCTAAGACTCTTTCTTCCTCCTATGTTGATATATCTATCAAGCCACTATAACATAGAGGCTTGCCAGACATTGATTTTTCAACATTGAACATTTGAGACAGTGTATAAAATAATCATCAAAAAGGATTTGAGTAGTATGTGTAAGTAATATTAGAACCCTCAATCAAACACACTTGAGCAAAAGAGACTCATTTATTGGCTCATCTAATTAATACTCCAGAGGTAATACGCATTCAGGCATAGTTGAACCCAGGACCTTGGTTTTCTTCTCCCCATCCTTTGGTCTTGTTTTCTTCTCTACTGGCTTCTCAGGCAAGCTCTCCCATTTTGCTCACATGATGATGCCAGAAACTCCATCTTTATCTTTCAAGCAACTCTAGTGAGGAAAACTTGCCTCTTTCCCATTATTCCAGCAAAATTCCAAGATTAATACTTACCAGCTCTGACTGGCCTAGTTTGAATCATGCGGCTATGGTAACAGGCATATTATACTCCCATTTTGCCTGGACTGGGTTACATGCATTTCTCTAGAGCTGGAGAAGAAGTCATCTTCACCTAAACCAATATTGACTAAGAGTGGAAGAGAGTCCGCCAAGAGAGAATGAGGAAGGTTTAACTTAAAGAAAAGAAGATGAATGTCAGCTGAGTGAGAACAGTCTCTCCATTAAAAAGCACTTCTCTTTTAGAGTGCTCTCTAGAACCCTTCCTCTAGGATACAAATCTCTAACAAGGTATTGCCTTGAATAAAGAAAGACCCTGAGCCCTCATGACCTTCTATAGGAAGCAAGTGACTGTTAATATCAGGTAAGCAGGTCACCACGGAAGACATTCCTAGAAAACCAAACCCATTTCTTCATTTATTCATTTGGCAAATATTATTGCAGCACCTACCATGTATCAATTTAGCATTTATTTAGCTGCCAATGTTCTAGGTGCTGGGGGCACAACAAAGATTCCTGTCCAATCTCGCCATCTGGTTTAGCCTTTTGAAGGTGCTAATGAATTCTCTGAAATGTCTCTGATGCACCCCGACTGTCTATAGGCCATGCATGTGTTTATTTACAATTGGAATGGCTCATTGCCGCTCTGGCTGGCTGGGCTATAATTTGCTCAGGCACTTAAGCTTCACTATAAAAAAAATCCAAAAAAATCACTGCTTCTTCGCTAGTTTCAATTTGGCTGTTATGTTTATACTGAAGATTACCTGGATGAAGCACTCAGCTTAAATGCAGCAGAAATGTAAAATAGGGCATGTGAAAGAAAATAGGTATGGATGGCTAATAAATCCCCTCAAATGAAGAGAGCTTCTCATGCAGCCTTAGAAGATATTTGCATAACCTAATTTCCCATAGCAGGATCTTTGCCGCTATTCATTCACATGTTTAAATCTCTCTAAAATAGAGACTGGTCATTTATACTTTTACCTGAATAATAGTCATTTGTAATTTTACTTGAATATCCTAACAAAATTTTAGTGAGAAGCATCTCCCTACAGTATGATACCATGGAACACTGTGACCAAAAGATGTGTTGAAATTAGTGAACAAGTGTCCACTCATTCAATAAATATTGGCCGAGCCATGTGCCAGGCACTGTTCTAAGAGTGCTCTTGAGCCAAGAAAAGATCCTGAGGTAGACAAATTATTCAAGGTAGGACTAATATGGTTTGGCTCTGTGTCCCCACCCAAATCTCATCTTGAATTGTAATCCAAATTGTAATCCCTAGGTGTCAAGGGAGGGACCTGGTGGGAGGGGATTGGATAATGGGGACAGTTTCCCCCATGCTGTTCTTGTGATAGTGAGTGAATTCCCATGAGATGTGGTTGTTTGATAAGTGTGGAGCTCTTCCCCCTTGATGCTCTCTGTCTCTCACCTGCCGCAATGTGCCTGCTTCCCCTTCCACCATGATTGTAAGTTTCCTGAGGCTTCCCCAGCTATGTGGAACTGAGTCAATTAAACCTCTTTCCTTTATAAATTACCCAGTCTCAGGGAAGTTCTTGATAGCAGTGTGAAAATGAACTAATACAAAGAATTTAGACTTGCGTTTGAAACCTTTCACTGACAAATGCTGACTGTGTGATTCTGGGCAGGTACATTTGTCTTTCAGGCTTCATTTTGTTGATGTTGTAATCTGAGAAGCAAAGGCAGGAAAGGCAAAGAAGAGGCCACAGTGTGAAGAGGTTAGGAGCTCAGGTGATAATCTCTCTGAGGCCCGGGTTCAATTCCCTACTCCCACTTAGTAGCTGTGTGACTTGGGTGAGTTTCTTCTCTTTAATCTTAGGGTTTTCAATTGTAAAATGGAGTTTATAAGAGACGTGCTTTATAGGATTGCTGTGAGAAACACTTGCGATACTGCATTGAAAGCACTTAGCCTAGTGCCTGGCACATAAGGATGCCTCAATCAACGCGAGCTGTCACTTTTCCCATTACTGCTATGGTTACTGTTATTGTTGTTATTGCTATCTTAGCTGACAACTTTAATAATTACAGTTGGCACTGAATTCATTCATTCATTTTATATATACGTATATATTTAGTGAGTTCTGCTATGCACCAGGGACACTCTAGTGATGGGGACCAAGCTATGACCAGTCAGAAAGACTTTTACTGGCTAGGAGCTTGAATTCTAGTGAAGAGAGAGGCAGATGATAAATTAGTAAACAAGCAAACAAATACAGAAATAATAGTTTCAGAGAGTGATATTTGCTATTAAGGAAATAAAATGGAAAAACTAATACACAATGACTGGAAGTAGGGGGAGTCTTTAAATCTTCAGAGAGGGAGACATTTTTCCTAAGAGGTGAATGCTGAGAAGATAACAGTTACGTAACAGACCTGAAGAAGGGCTTTCAAAGCAGGAGAGATAGCATGAAGATCCTAGGAAAGCCAGGGTAGCTAGAGAGTAGCTGACAAAACAGGAAAATGACATTAAGAGAAAAATTGGAGAGATGAGTGCCATGATCGATTAGTGATGTCTGTGCATGGCAAAGAAGATGAAGAATCAGCGAGAACATCACACATTTGCAAGCCCTGCTGTCCCTAAAGTCCCTTTTAATTGCTAGTATAAAAAACTTCCAGGAATCTCCTACCTTTACCCTATAATCTGACCAAATTAGAAGCATACAGCCGTTTAATAATCATATTTCTGATTTTAAGAATTTTAAGAACCAAAGTTTCTTGAGGTTATCTACTTCTGGGTTGAATAAGAAATAAGGCTATTTCCTGGTTAAGAACAACTATCTCGGCCGGGTGCGGTGGCTCACGCCTGTAATCCCAGCACTTTGGGAGGCTGAGGTGGGTGGATCACCTGAGGTCAGGAGTTCGAGACCAGCCTGGCCAACATGGTGAAACCCCGTCTCTACTAAATATACAAAAAATTAGCTGGGTGTGGTGGTTGAGCATCTGTAATCCCAGCTATTTGGGAGGCTGAGGCAGGAGAATCGCTTGAACCCGGGAGGCGGAGGTTGCAGTGAGCCGAGATTGTGCCATTGCACTCCCGCCTGGGCAACAAGAGTGAAACTCCATCTCAGAAAAAAAAGAAAAACTATCCTGGTACAAATCTGGTGCGATGGTCACTTTCTCTCTCCTCTGTCACATAGCAGCTGAGAAGGGAGAGCAGTTTCACTAGAGCTCAGCTTCATGGTTGGTTTTATTCTAAGCTAACAATTATGGTAAGCTATATCAAATAAGTCAATGGAAAAAAATTGGCCAAAAATAGGAGGGTTGAGATGAACATTTGGTTGAACCAATGATTTGGGTGAAAGTAATTTCCACAGACACTGGATTTGCTACATAAAAAACCCATACACACACAGTGTTGGTGCACAATGGGAAGGTTTTGTCATCTTTGATGTGGCTGTATATATTTATGCCATTTTTTCATTTTTCTATTTTTAAATTTATTTTCATTTATGCACTTCATCTTTGTACTGTTTGTAATATACAACCTGAATGTAATCAAACTGGAGATTGGTTAATACTGTATGTGATAAATGTTAGGGATGAGCTGACTAAAACATACATGTGTTTTATATGTATACATATAGAAATGTATCTGCATGGATGAACATGATGGAATTAACAACGGAGGATGTCTCTGAGTGAAGCTGATGGTTTAACTATAATTTAAATACTATATTCTGATTTTCATATACTGGTTTTGATATTATACTGGTTTGGATATTATAAAAAATTAAGTAATAAAGCATGAAAGGAATAATAAAAAAGTATCTAGAAATTTCAGAAGGTTGTTCGAAGTTTTTGTTCATTTCAAATTTATTTTCAGTTCATTGTAATGTCTGCTCTGCTCATTTGGATGTATTTTCATCTATGTTATAACTTTTTGCACATTTGTCAAAAATTTGTGTTTTCTATTGCTTACTTTTTAAACTCCATACAATGCATGCTACTTTGTAACCCATTATAATATATTGTTGAATTCACTACAGCTGATTCTTTAACTTACTTCCTTCTTTTCAATATTATATGCAGTCAGAACAGGAGTAGCTGGCAGAAATCAATGCAAATTTTAAAATCGACTGTGCACGGTGGCTCACGCCTGTAATCCCAGCACTTTGGGAGGCCAAGGAGGGTGGATCACCTGAGGTCAGGAGTTCGAGACCAGCCTGACCAACATCATCTGAAACTCCATCTCTACTAAAAATACAAAAAAAATTAGCTGGGCGTGGTGGCGCATGCCTATAATCCCAGTTACTTGGGAGGCTGAGGCAGGAGAATCACTTGAACCCGGGATACGGAGGTTGCAGTGAGCCGAGATTATGCCATTGCACTCCAGTCTGGGCAACAAGAGTGAAACTCTGTCTCAAAAAAAAAAAAAAATCAACAACATAGTAACAAATCTTGAAAATTTCTGAAATTCAGATAAAATTGTTTGAAGATCCATTGTAAGTTGCAAAACCATTCCCATGTCATATCCAAATTATCCATATGAGAAACATAGTGAGTAGGAATGATTGTTTCCAGTGATTATCTCAACCAATGGTGTGCTTCCACAGAAAGCCTCTCTGGCCTTCCCACAGTCACTAGCAAGGCTCTGGTGGATGCCTGAATTTCACTTACTCTAGCTTCATTTTCGAGAAATAATATGCAAATGTCCTTTTTGAGAATTGGAGTTCAAGAAGAAGGGCTCAGTCAAACTCCAAAGTAACCTGTAAATGCATTTGGAGAGGTATATGATGTTAAAATTTTTCTCTGTCTCAACACACACACACACACACACACACACACACACACACACTCATACTTTCTCTTTTTAGTTTTAGTGATATTTAATTTTTATTTCCAATTCACATTCCACTCAATTCTTAAAAGTGTGGCAGTCTACCAGCTCTCTAGTCTCTTGGTTATGTAATGATTGGAAAAACAGGACTGTTTCAAGGAAACTTACCTTTTTGTTTGTTTGTTTGTTTTAAATCTTAGATTCAGGAGGTACATGTGCAGGTTTGTTACATGGGCATATTGCATAATGCTGAGGTTTGGTTTCTCTTGATCCGGTTACCCAAATAGTGAGCATACTATCTAATAGATAGTTTTTCAATCCTTGTCCCCTTCCTTCCCTCTCTCCTTTTGGAGTCCCCAGCATCTGCTGTTCCCATCTGCTGTTCCCGTCTGTGTGTACCCAATGTTTAGCTCCCACTTCTAAGTCTCTCTCTGTGTCTTTCTCTCTCTCTGTCTTTCTCTTGCTCTCTCTTCTGAGATCATTTTAGGGCTCATTTTTAGAATTACCCTAGGTATTAGATATTGAGTAGCCCAGGCTAACCTGAGCAGAGTCTGCAGCTTTACTTTGCTGTGGAATCTAGTGCAAAGTATTCTCCGGCCCCTTTGCTACACAGTCTTCTTAGGCTTAAAGCACACAACCCTTATTGGTGCCCCCTATTTCTGAATCCTGCCACATCCTGGACACTGGGATTTCTTACCCTGGCATCCCAGCCTCCCTGCCAGCTTCATCTCTCTTCATTTTCCCATGATGTCCTAATCCCAAATGACCTGCTTCCACTCTCAGCTTTAGGCCTTTCAACTTTCGGTTCCCTCTGCCTGGAGCTCCCCCACTCCCATCTGAGGGCCCATCTTTTTCTGCTGGCTAATTTCTTCCACTTCCTTCAAGACTCAGAGCAGGTGGCAGTTCCTCTCTGAAGCTTTCCTATTTTTGTTTTCCCTATTCTGTATCCCCTTCAAGTTGGGCTCAGAACCTCTTCTGTCTCCTCACATTATCTTCCTGGGTGGTAGCTATGAATTTATATGCTCTACTCCCGGGTAGTCACTGAGCTCCTGGAGGGCAGGGTCTGTGTGCTATTTATATCTGTGTCCATGCACTCTCACCTGGCATTGTCCAACAGAACTTCCCATGATGAAGGAAAGGTTCTGTGTCTGCACCGTCCTGTACAGTAGCCACTAGCCACAAGTGGCTATTGATTATTTGAAATGTGGCTAATGCAACTGTGGTAATGAATTTTTTATTTTGTTTAATTCTGGCCAATTGAAATTGAAATAGCCACATGTAGCTAGTGGCTACCATATTATTGGACAGTGCAGATTAGCACTTTATGGAGCCCGTATTAGGTATTGACCTTGAAGGAGCATGATAGTTGTATTATATTTTTTACATGATGGCAAAAGATGTTAGTCCCTTTTATTTTTAGTGACTTTGAACCCTCAAATCCATTAATATTCTCCTCTCCTTCACTGGCCCAGAAGAGCAAGTTTATGAATTCATTCATTGTCCTATTACAGCTAAGCATAGAGGCTCCGGGTTCAAACACAGCCAGATTTGGATCTAGATTCACCACTTACCAGCATCACTAGCCACATATCCACACCAAGTTATTGAACCTCTTTAGGAACCAATTTCCTTATCTGCAAAATGGGATGGTTGATAATACCCAGGTAAAGGCTATTTGCAATCATTAAATAAGAGAATGCATGTAGAATATTTAGCGCATTGCTTGGCACACAGTAAGCATCCAAAAACATTAAGCAATTGTCATTTATTCTTTTATTCATATAAACCACATTTATTGAGCACCTACCCTGTTTCAGATGCTATGCTAAGGGACAGAGATAAAAATTTTTCAAGCCAACGAGAACAAAAAAAAGGGAATATAAGAAAAATGATAGATTGGAAAGTCACGTATATTATCACAAGATGAACATCAGCGCCTCATTTTTAAGCTTAAAATCATATTAAAGTATTTTATTTGCCCAGGAGTAAATTTGACCCCATTTTTTAAACATGGAGGCCCAGAATTTGCATTCACACTATCTAAGCCCTTACAATATGCTTGTTAATTAGTGTTCAGGCTAGAAAAGCATTATTTTTCATCATCAAGTAATGAATTTGTGTGTGGTATTAAGCTTTTATATTGTAAAATTCAGCTCAAAAAGAAAGATTTTTTCTGCTCCACAGAGGACTGAATTTTTCAACTGTGATATATCATTTATGCATCTCATCCATTATTGATGTGTGACAGCTTTTACATGAGGCACCGACCTTTTAAAATAAAAATAAAACTACATCGTCCTGATCTGTTTCTTGTCGATATTGTTTTTAGAGTACAAGAGATTCTTGTGTTCTATGGAATTCACTTTGAAGCTTCCTTTCTTTGAAAAGAAATGGCAGGAAGGCCCCCAAACAAACTGGGCTTTCCTATTTGGTGCAAGAGCTCTGTGCATGTGTCTAATCTTGAATTCTGAAGTGCAAATGTCATGTAATGAAAGTATCAGCAGTTACTTAAATGTGGTTAAATATGGAAACTCGGCATAAAGTCGATGTTTATTTGCAGCCAGTGACAGTGATAAGGGCAGGAGCCCTCCGATAAGTGGCTTTTAGCCACCGTTAATCGGCTGATGGATGGATTGGTGCAAGGCTGGTCACGAAGGAAGCCGTCTCACCCTCTGTAATGGAACGTGCTCATCTGTCTAGCAGAGGGTGAGAAGGAGACCATGTGTGCTGTTGATTCCATTATGCTGCTCAGGGTAACCTCTGCCGCTGGTGAGAGGAGGCAAAAATCAAGAGACCTTGACCTGAATCATAGTGGAAACTTAGAGACTTGCAGAATGTCACAACTGGAAGGGATCTTAGCGATCATCTAATCCAACCCCTGTATTTTTAGATGAGGAAAATTCCATGCGTAAAAAGACACCAGTATTTATTAATCAATGTACATATATTTACTCCCTGCATAAAATCACAGCTGGCTGCCCACTGCCCTTAAGGTGACTCCTTATTAAGACATCAAGGCCCTTCATTGTCTGGATTCTGCTTCCTTCCCACCCCAGCCCTCATATTTCTTTCTTGCTCTCTCTGTCTGTCTCTCTCTCCTCATGCTGTACCTCGACTGGGGAGCTCCAGTGTGAGTAACTCCTGTTCTAGCTTTAGGTGTCTGCTTGGATGACAGCAACACAAAGGTTTTCCCTGACTCTCCAGAACTGAGCTGGGGGTGCTTTCTGTTACCCTTGGTTCTTATTCCCCTCCTCATGATTACCTTACTGTCATATTTGTCTTTAACTCATTTGTCTCCTACTTGATCAGGAGCTCTTTAAGGATGTCTCATCCATCATTGTATACCAAGGGTCTTGCAAGGTGCCTGGCACATAGTAGGTGCTCATTAAATATCTGACACTAAATGAAATGGTTAATTATATGCCAAGCATTACAGCAGATACCAGTAATACAAAACTGACTAAGACACATTCCTGCCCTGGAAGAAATCAGGTTAGTCCATTCCATTTATTCATAGTTTTTCCTAAATAGGGCATTTTTTTATCCCGTTTATGAAATTTGAAGAAGTTGCATACCTAGAAGCTTTGAGAAAAGTGCAGGGACACTTGAAATTCCCAAATTTTCAAACAATGGTTAAAAATACCCCACCAGGTTGGGCGTGGTGGTTCATGCCTGTAACCCCAGCACTTTGAGAGGCTGAGGCAGAGGATCACTTGAGGCCGGGAGTTCAAGACCAGCCTGGGCAACATAGACCCCATCTCTATTTTAAATAAAATAAAAATTAAGAAAAGAATATCACACCATTAGCATCAGACAAAAGGAACCACAAAATAATTTAATCTCAATTAAGCTGTCCCCTCACAAGTAGTAAGAAACAAGCTCATATTTGTGGTGTAAAAGAACCACTGCCAGGGTGATCTCAGTGTCCACAGCTATTCTTTCCTGTACATGCCCAGGTGACAGGCAGGGATGAGAAATAGGAGCCCTGTGGAATGTTAGGACTTGGGCAGGCTTTGGAATGACCAAGCTCTGTCCCCTCCTCTTACAGAGGAGAAAATGGCAGGCCAAAGAGAATCATTGGCTCAAAGTCAAGTACCAAGTGAGTGGCCACCCTAGGCCTCTGGGCTGTGTCCCTTCTCCAATGAGGTATTGTGACCCCACACGTCACCACCCCAAATTAGTCATCTTCAGACACATTTCCAATTGTGGTAGTGGACATTGGCTTTTTTGGTTGGCCCAGCTTCCCGTACAATTGGTAACAGTACCCTAATTTTTATTAGGAAAACTACGACTCCCACACATGGGGGAGCTCGTTCCACCCCAGCTTCAGGCATGCATCCTGAGTGACTAAAGTCAATGCACCTTCCGCCCAGCACTCTGGTTTACAATCTAAGTTGACTTAACAAGGAAGGTCCTTTTCAACCGAGCTCTTGTCTAGCTCTTATCATAGCTAGAGTTCAGGGTTAAAAGCCCCCCCATGATCTTGGCTCATCCAGGGATATCTGATATTGGGGAGGGGGCAGGATTTAGGAACTGCTCCTCGACATGGGAATGATTTACAAGTGCCAACAAGGCTCCTTAGTGACTGCTGGAAGATAACTTCCATCAAAGACAGCAATAGTAAAATCAGATAAAGACAGTCTTTGTTTTAGACATCAGCACCCCAACCCTCACTCCCTTGAACTCATAGTTCAGGGAAGTCCATTTACTGCCATGTTCCAGCCGGCTTGTTGGATTTCTGTTTGTCAGTAATCTTCAGTTCCCAGCCACCAAAAAATTAATTATTTAATCAAACAATTAATTAGTCCATGCAGTTAGCTAGTTCATGGTGCCACGTACCCTGCAAAGGTGTAAAAAGCTGCTGCTGATTCTCAAATGGCTGTTTGGATCCACCTGCAGACACTGGCCACCTTTTTTTTTTAGACAGAGTCTCACTGTGTCACCCAGGGTGGAGTGCAATGGCGCGATCTCAGCTCACTGCAACCTCTGCCTCCTGGGTTCAAATGATTCTTCTGCCTCAGCCTCCCAAGTAGCTGGGGTTAAAGGCGCTCCCCACTTCGCCCAGCTAATTTTTGTATTTTTAATAGAGGTGAGGTTTCACCATGTTGGCCAGGCTGGTTTCAAACTCCTGACCTCTAGCGAATCGCCCACCTCAGCCACCCAAAGTGCTGGGATTACAGGCGTGAACCACTGTGCTGAACCTCAAATTTTTTCTTAGGCAATTAATTTCAGTTCAGAAAACTTTTATTGAGCACCTACTATATGCCAGGCCTGCATGAAGCGATACATAAATGGGTAAGATACACTCTTGGTTTTGAGGGGCTTGCATGGCATAACTGGGGAGTCAGGAAGGTAAAAAGTGCTGCTGGCCTCTCATTCTGACCTTCCTGAAGCCAATATTCTGGGGTCAAATTCAACCAAGGAACTTACCTGTCCAGGGCGGCTCTGGCCTCAGCTCAGACTGCATATGTTTAATTTTCAAGTGTACAAGGAATTTTAAAATTTTGTTTTGAGAAAGAAAAGTATCCCAGAATGTTAAGTACAGAGGATCATTACTGCAATTTCTTCATAATGAGAGATAACTCCAAGCTCACAGTGTGTATTTTTTAAAAATAAGGCTAAATAATAGGTTGGGGCTGCTTTCAGCTAGCTGCAGCAATGTTTATGAACGAGCAAACCTCTGGTGCATCTGGGAAGCAGGAGATGCAGGGCCTGGTAGGAGTCATGACACCGCAAATAAGAATGATCCTACACCAAAACAAAAATACTGTGACCTACATGCGCTCTCTTGGAGACTGCTGCTTGGTTGTTATTAATGTAATTAGGGAAAGAACATGTAAGAGTGTGTTTAGAAGTTCCTGGTGACTTTGTTAGAGTACCACTTTTTAGAAAGCTACCACCTATCAAAAGCCTGCTGTGTGTTAGGTATTTTATATGGCAATGACTTCATTTAATGCTCATTAACTGCCCTGTGAAGTAGGTGTGGTTGTCTACTTCACAGCTTGGAAAAGTTAAGAAACTTGCTCAAAGGCATGCAGCAAGGAAGTCCACAGTGGCTATAACAGGACTCGCCTACTGATGACTGTGCCACCCATAGAAAATGAGGTCAACTCCCAACCCTAAGAGCAGGTGTCATAGGTATTTTATATGTTCATAGACTTTTATTAGGAAACATACACATAAAAATGTATAATATGTATATGTATATGCAGTTTAAAGAATAATGAGAGAACAAATTCTTATGTATTCAAATTCTTATGTATTCACCACCAAGCTTATGAAACAGAATATTGTTATCATTTTGTTTGAGGTTTCTTGTTCTTTTTTCTTTATCATCTATATATGTATATGCTTTAGTATTTCCTGTTTTTATAGGATGGAATAATGCATTATCTATTCTCCCGTGACTTGATTCTTTAACATTATATTTTAGTGATTTATCCAAGTTGATTCATGTAGATGTAGTTTATTCAATTTTACTGCTACCTGGCTTACCAATTTGTGAATATGCCACAATTTATTTATTCATTCTGTTGCTGATGGGAATTTGGATTGTTTCTGGCTTTACTAACAGCACTGCTGTGAATTTTCTTGTATGTACCTGTTGGTGCACACGTGTGTGTTTTAGGGTAAATACCAGTGGAATTGATAGAGTGTAAGCATGGGTTCCTCTTGATGATAATGCCAGAGTGTTTACCAAAGGACTGTACCAATTTTAATTCCCATAAGCAGTGGATGAGAGCTTACATTGTTCTCCAATCTCTCCATCCTGATATTGACCAGTTTGTAAATTTTCACCATTCTGGTGGTATTTTCTTGGAATGCTAATTTGCATTTACTGATCATTCATAGGTTTAGGCACCTTTTCATAAATTTAAGAACCATTTGTGCTGCTTCTGCTATGAAATATGTGTTCAACTCCTTTGCCCCTTTTTCTTTTGGGTTTCCTTTTTCATATTGATTTGGAGTTCTTTATATTTTCTGAATGCTAGTTGCATTAGTTCGTTTTCACACTGCTACAAAGAACTGCCTGAGACTGAGTAATTTATAAACAAACGAGGTTTAATTGACCCACAGCTCCACATAGCAGGGGACACCTCAGGAGACTTACAGTAATGGCAGAAGGGGAAGAAGAAGCAAGTATCTTCCTCACAAGGCAGCAGGAGAGAGGAAAGAGAGCGGAGGAAACTGTCATTTATAAAACCATCAGATCTTGTGAGCACTCACTCACTATCACGAGACCAGCATGGAGGAAACCACCCCCATGATTCAGTCACCTCCCACCAGATCCTTCCCTCAACACATGGGGAGTATGGGGATTACAATTTGAGACGAGATTTGGATGGAGATACAGAGGCAAACCATATCACTAATTTTTATCAGTTATATGTATTGTAAATGTATTTTCAATTTGAGGCTTGTCTTTTTATTCTCTTCAGGGCATTTTTATTTATTTATTTTTTTTGAAATGGAGTCTTGCTCTGTCTCCCAGGCTGGAGTGCAGGGGCGTGATCTCGGCTCACTGCAACCTCTGCCTCCCAGATTCTCCCATCTCAGCCTCCCAAGTAGCTGGGACTATAGGCATGCACCACTATGCCTGGCTAATTCAGAGCATTTTTTAAAATGAGCAAGAAGTTCTTACATTTTAAAACTTTTGGGCTGGGTGCAGTGGCTCATGCCTGTAATCGCAGCACTTTGAGGGGCTGAGCTGGGTGGACCATCTGAGGTCAGGAGTTCAAGACCAGCCTGACTAAAGTGGCGAAACCCTGTCTCTACTAAAAATACAAAAATTAGCTGGGCGTGGTGGCAGGCAACTGTAATCCCAGCTACTCGGGAGGCTGAGGCAAGAGAATCGCTTGAACCCAGCAGGCGGAGGTTGCAGTGAGCTGAGATGGTGCCACTGCACTCCAGCCTGGGCGAAAAGAGCAAAACTCCATCTCAGAAAAAAAAAAAAAAGGCTTTTTATATTTCAGACTGAAGGAAAAGTTATAAAAGTAGTACAAAGATTTTTTCATCCAGATTTTCTAAATGTTAACATTTTATTGCATTTGCTTTAACACTTTATCTCTTTTATATTTTTCTTGCTGTTGTAAATGGTGTCTTTAAAAATTGCATATTCTAACTTGGTGGTGTTTAGAGATGCAATTGACTTTTTATATTGTTTTTCTATAGAATTTTGATAAACTCTCCAATTCTAACATTTTTATACATCATTTGGCATGTTTTCCAGGTAAGTAATTAAGTCATCTGCAAATAATGACAGTTTTTGTTTTGTTTCCAGTCTTTTTGAGGTTATACTTCTCTGATTGATGCCTTCAGTACCAAGTTGAATAGGTACGTTAATAGTGAGCATTCTTGTCCCCTTCCTTGTCTTGAAGGCAACATTTTCAACATTTCACCATAAAGAATGATGTTTGTGGTAGTTTTTTGTTTTTCCTTTCTTTCATTTTTGAGGTTGCCCATGATTGGGTGTGGAAGTTCCCTCTCATTCCTAGTTTAAGAAGACTTTTGTTTTAAAAAAAACATGAGTTAATGTTACATTTTATTGAATACTTTTCTCTGTGTTTACTGAAATGATCATGTTTTTTTTCTCCTTTAATCTGTAAATGGAGTGGATTTCATTAATCAATTTTCTAGTATTACATTCTTGGGATAAACCCAACTTGGTTTTATGCATTATCTTTGTTTATACATGGCTGGATTCAGCTTGCCAATATTTTGTCTAGGACTTTGGTATCTATGTTCATGAATGAGATTAGCCCGTCACTTTCGTTTTGATTCTTTGTCTAGTCTGGATAACAAGGTTAATGTTTTGGTCATCTTCTGCTACATAAAAATTTGTTCTAGGTATTTGTTGTACGTAAAAAACTACCCCAAACTGAGTGGTGTAAAACAACAACAATTATTTATTGTTATTATCTATCATGGCTCTGGGGGTTGACAGGGCTCAACTAAGTGGCTCTTGATTGGGATCTTTTGTGTGTTTGCAGCCAGAGGGTGGCTGGGAATCACTTGAAAGGCTTTCTTGCTCATTTGCCTGCTGCCTGATTTGGGAAGACTCAAACAGGTGGAGCTGGAAAGCTGAGACTCACAGGTATCTCTTTCTATCTCTATTTGTTTTGGTTTCTTCAGCATGGCAGTTTCCAAGTCATTGAGCTCCCAGAGACTTCCAGAGCAAATATCCCAACAGAAACTGGTAGAAGCTGCATAGCCTTTTCAAATCTTGGAAGTTATATGGCACCTCTTCTGCTGCATCTTGTTTGCTGAGGAAGTCACATCAGGTTTCAGGGGAGGGCACAGAGACTTCACCCTTTTTTTCTCACTATATTGCCCAGGCTGACCTTGAACTGCCCAGGCTGACCTTGAACTCTTGGGCTCAAGTGAACTTCTCAGACTACAGGCACATACCACCATCCCCAGCTGACTTCACCTTTTCAAGGAAGAAGTTTCAAAGAGCGTGTGACACGATTTAAAATCATTATACTTAAACTAGCCCCATAAAATAATTTCAGCAGTGTTTCCTCTATTTTTTCATCCTCCAGACTATTTGTGTGAGATTAGCATTAATCTGTTCTGGAAATTTTGGTAGTGCTGATCTGTAACACCAAGTGGACCTTGCATTTTCTTTGTGGAGCCACTTTTGACTACACATTAAATTTTGAAAATGGATATAGGGCTCTTTATCTTTTCTGTTTCTTGTTGAATCTTATTTTTAGGCCATGTAGATTTATTACTCATAGATAGGCAGCAAGGATAAACGGAAGCCTAGGATCCATGGTGAGCCGGTCCAGCAGGGCTCAGGAAAGCTGCCCAGGGTAGATGGAGTCTCATCTCCCTGTGCCCCATGTTGCACCACAACTGAGGGGCCTCAAAATCACTCTGCTCTGGCCTGGGTTTATGTGCTCTGGGCGTCACTTGGCTCACTGAGCACCAGTGTTGCAGAATATCCAGTTCTAGAAGGAATAAGGACATAGCCCTGGTTGTTTTGGACATTTCCTCCTTATCTCAGGATGTTGCATTCTTAGTCCATCCTGCCTGAGAAATGCAAGCAAGAGAGGGAAGAGCTGGGTCAGCCAAGGTCATCTGGAGACGTGTGCTACAATTGTGGTGCCTGCAAACTCTATTGCAATTAGTCATGTACAACATACTTTCCCAGACTATGAGCTCTTTGAGGCCAGGAACTATTTATAATTTATCTCCATATTCATGTGCCTGGCACCATGCCTGGCTCATCATAACCCTCTTGCCGAATGCAGACAGTAGAGTAAAAGCATAAAGAAGTGTGTAGTCAGGAAGTCTGCCAATTTAGGCAGTCAGGTGGAAGGTTTAACAGGGGAAGCAACATTTGAGCTGTGCTTGAAAGATGATTTGGTGTTAGCCAGGCAGGAGAGCGGAAGGAAAGACACTGGAAACAGCACCAGTAAAGCACAGAGATATAACACAGTACAGGATAACTGCAGGCTGTATTAGTCCATTTTCATACTGCTATGAAGAAATACCTGAGACTGGGTCATTTATAAAGGAAAAGAGGTTTAATGGACTCACAGTTCCACATGGCTGGGGAGGCCTCACAATCATAGTGGAAGGCGAAGGAGGAGCAAACGCACATCTTACATGGTAGCAGGCAAGAGAGCATGTACAGGGGAAATGCCCTTTATAAAACCATCAGATCTTATGAGACTTTTTCACTATCACGAGAACAGTACGGGAAAAACCTGGCCCCATGATTCAACTACCTCCAGCTGGGTCCCTCCCATGACACCTAAGGATTATCAGAATCACAATTCAAGATGAGATTTGGGTGGGAAAACAGCCAAACCATATCAGAGGGCTATAGGTCAGTGTCTTCAGAGCCTATCAGAGTGCTTGGCTCACAGTGGGTGCTCAGTAAATGCTTGTAGATGAATGAATGAATGAATATATTGATATCCTTAACTTTCTTACTATAGGAACATTTCTGTCTATAAGACCAAATCTATTGTTTGTGTTTTAAAATGTAGATTTTATTATTATTCAGATATGATGAAGCCAACAGATCACGAGATGATGGCTATTGCAAAGATAGTTTGTTACTCAAGTTTCCCAAGA
The DNA here is from genome assembly GCF_000001405.40 of Homo sapiens. Lineage (NCBI taxonomy): Eukaryota > Metazoa > Chordata > Mammalia > Primates > Hominidae > Homo > Homo sapiens. The sequence continues at coordinate 31,941,557 of NC_000011.10, forward strand.
AGAGGGGACAGGCCACATTATGGGGTTGGGGACACATAAGGAAGCACTAGGGTTGGTCAAGAGGCAGAGGGAGCAAGGGGAAAACATGGGCAAGGGCATTTATGGTGGTTTCTGCAGGAAGAAATGGGCAAGGCAGGATAAGCAAGTTTAGGCTTGGTTAGTTTGAATAATTTCAGTGTGCTCTGAGGAATAGGGGCTGTCTCTAGATACCTGGTACCTAGCCCTGGAGTGATTAGGGCAGGTAGGTATTAGCCCTGAGTGTGAGAACTCAACAAAGGAGGTGGTTGGGCTATGGGCTCTTAATGGATGTGTTTGCATACAAAAAGTGCACTTGTAGATGAGTTTAGTTTAGTTTTGTTTTTTTTTTGAGATGGAGTCTCGCTCTGTCACCCAGACTGGAGTGCAGTGGTACGATCTTGGCTTACTGCAACCTCCGCCTCCCGGGTTCAAGCAATTCTCCTGCCTCAGCCTCCTGAGTAGCTGGGATTACAGGCACCCGCCACCACACCTGGCTAATTTTTATATTTTTAGTAGAGACGGGGTTTCACCATGTTGGTCAGGCTGGTCTCGAACTCCTGACCTCGTGATCTCCCCAACTAGGCATCCCAAAGTGCTGGGATTACAGGCGTGAGCCACCGTGCCCAGCCTGAGTTTTTTTTACTATCCCTAAGAATTGTCTAACCCTGGGAAGGGCAGTTCCCCAAGATTCATCAAGGTCCCAAGATGTCAATGCAGCAAATATTGAAACTAGAAAACACAATGATTGATTATACTTTGACAATTAGGGAATTCTGTCTCTTAGATCATTTGGTGATAGAGCTGTGATCACTGGGAACTTTCATGACCTGTTTTGTCTTGATACCACCCATTTTCATGCCAATTTTTGCCATATTTTATTATTTCATTTATTCATTCATTTAATAAATACTTACTGAGCATCCACTGTAAACCAGGCCCTGTGTCAGACTCTGGCCCTCGCAACTTGGTCAAGAGAGACAGCCTAGGAAGCAAGTGGAATTCCTGCCTGCATGGTTAGTGCTCTAATGAAGCCCTAAATACTGTTATCTTCAGAGGCTCCTTGCCCTCCCCTGGATTCCTCAGGTAGGAAGGTACCTTGATGTCAAGTTTAGTGCCATCTATGGAGGCAGTTTCATTTCTCATAATGGAGGATTTGCTTTTAATCAAAGAGAAGGCCTTTTGTCAGTCTGAGAGCTTTGTCTTTTTTGTGACTTGCAGATAGACATTTTAATAATAGGACTAGATACGTGGCTCTTGGAGACCAGGCTGTGACTTTAAATAGTGTGAAGACCCCAATGGCTGGATTCACAGGGGCAATCTGAATACTGATCATGAATTTTTAAATGGCCTTAGAAAGTGCAGCATGATTTTAGGAGAGATTTCCAATTAACTTGGGCTGTTCAAAGCAGCTCTATGCCTGGGAAAGAGAATGCATGAGAATTTTCCAAAGAGCTTTTTCTCTTGAAACAGAAAATATAAATGGTAGTGGGGGGAAAAAAATCAAAGTTACTGAATATGGAAATCACCACTTTGGGGTTTATGAGAACCACATCCTGCTAACTCCCTGCTATGCGATGGGGCTTTCAGAGGTAATGAGGCAAGTACCAGAGTGTCAAATGTCTGCCTTGCTTTACACTTATGTGTGCTCTTGTCCTGGTCCTCCTGCTGGTAGGCTACATGCTCAGCCCAGGCAGAGATGGTGTCTGACTCCTCCTTCTAGTCTCCTAGGGAAAATCTTGCACTCAGCAGGCACTTAATGCACTCTGGTGGGATTGAACTGAAAAGACAAGACTCCCCAGGAAGGCATAGGGAGTCCTCCTGTTGCCTATTACTCTGCTGTGAATTGGAGGCACAGCAGCCTCTCTGAGGCTACAGGCAAAGGCTTTTGCCTTCTGGATGGAGGAAGGAAACTAGCTCTTACTGAGCCCTTACCATATGCCTGGTAGGCACCTTGCAGCATTTTTTCATCAAACCTCTTGATAACCCTTTGTAATTGGTATTGTTACCCCCATTTTACAGATGAGGAAATAGAGGCACTGAAGAATAAGCTCTCCTGAACGATTTTCACTGGAAAGATTTTTCAACATTCCATCTGTCCACTCCACCAGCCTGAGACAACCATCTTTACTGAGGTTTTGAATAGTTAAGCAGGAGGTAATGCACTCTTAACAGTGTTTAAAAGGATTAAGCAATTCAAAGCATACCTCCAAGGAACCCCTGCCAGAGATGCTGAATCTTGAGTTTGCTTTCTTCCTCTGAAGGGCATCTGAACTTTCACCTGACTCCTTATGCTTAGCTCAAACGGGGGCAGGTTCAAGCAGGAAATCGGATGGCCTGAGAGGTGCTGCCACTGTAATTAAGAACAGAGCAGACCATTGCCAAGACTCAAGAAAGTTGTATGCCTCTTAATCTGGTTTGTTTCATTAGGCCTTTTACTAATGCCCAAGTTATGGCCCTTCTGAAGGTGGCTAGAAGCAGGTGTTGGGGTGGAAGTGGGCCTAAAACCCAGAGCCCAGTGGCTGCTCCGCAAAAGAGAGATGGGCAATAACATTAAAATTATATTTATACCTCAACTTAGTCCACAAAACTGAGGTTCAAGCACTGAACCACCTGCCTGATCATTGTCACCACAGGGCATGATCATTTACAGTCTGGATTTGACAATACATCAGAGAGCATGGACTTATGTTTGGACATTTAAAAACCGCCTCCACGGGAGGCAGAGTTTGCAGTGAGCACGGGTGGCAGAGTTTGCAGTGAGCTGACATCACACCACTGCACTCCAGCCTGGGTGACAGAGGGAGACTCTGTCTCAAAAAAACAAAACAAAACAAAACAAAACAAAACACCTTCTGAATATCGCATTCAAAATAAATTTTTAAAAGTTATCAAAAACTTCCTAAATGATGCAGATTCTTAGGATGATACAGGTATTTGACTTTGAAGAGGACAAAGGCTGATTGCAATTCTTCTTCTGACACGAGACTCTCCGACAGTGTGTGTGGCTCCCTTTACTTTCCACATCTTCCTTCTTTCTTCTTTCCTAGCTTCATTCCTTCTGTATCTCCTGCATCTCAGACATCATAGCAGAAACTGCTAATCATTTTTCAATGTGCATTCTCCTCTTCTTCCTTCAGGAGAACCCTCAAGTTTTTGCTGAGGAGATAGCTGCTCAGTTAAAAACCAGATTTCTCAGCCTCCCATGCAACTATGTGACAATGTGACTCTTTTCTTGCCAGTGGTGTGTGAGCAAAAATAATACGTGCAACCTTTGAAAGTGCAATTAAAAAAAAGAAGAAGCATGCCCTGTTCTTCCTCCACTTTCTCCTTTCCTCTGCTTGGCACATAGCTATGATGGCAGGAGTTGGAGCAGCCATTTTGGGCCATGAGATGAAAGCCTTATATTGAGCCATGTTTTGAGCAGAAGAACAGAAAAGAAAGAACCTGGGCCCCTGACATTACTGAGCCACCATAAAGACCTAGGCTCTCTACTTGAACTTCAGGTAAGAGAGAAATAAACTTCAATATTGTTTAAGCCATTGTATTTGGGCGTTTCTCTATTATAGCAGCCTACCATGTATGCTAACAGAAGTCATAGATGTATCTTTTTTTTTTTTTTTTTTGAGATGGAGTCTCGCTCTGTCACCCATGCTGGAGTGCAATGGTGCGATCTCTGCTCACTGCAAGCTCCACTTCCCGGGTTCACACCATTCTCCTGCCTCAGCCTACCGAGGAGCTGGGACTACAGGCACCCACCACCACGCCTGGCTAATTTTTGTATTTTTAGTACAGACGGGGTTTCACCATGTTAGCCAGGATGGTCTCGATCTCCTGACCTGGTGATCCACCCACCTCGGCCTCCCAAAGTGCTGGAATTACAGGCGTGAGCCACTGCACCCAGCCAATAGATGTATCTTTAAAGCCAGCTATAGGTAATATTCAGGATAGAGAATTAATGGGTAACAGACTGGAAGTCAACAGAACAATTCACCCATCCATGACTTGCTGGTCAAAACTCTTTAGCAGCTGAAAGACTGTAGAAGAGCATGTCTCGTGGTAGCATCCACCCAAGAAAAGGTGGAATGGAGAGGTTTCAATGGAATGGAAGTCAGACAGACATGAGTGCACTTATTAGCTCTGTAGCTTTGGGTAATTCTTAATACCCTTTCTCAGTTTCTCCTTCTATTAAATGGATACAATAACTCTTGCCTGACTATTTTGTGAATCAACAAGACCATATGTTTAAAGAGAAGCATAGTGTGAATGAAAGAGCCAGAAGGTCTGGATTTGAGTCCCATCTGCCATTAACTTGCTGGGTTGCCTTAGGCAAGTCACTGCACTTCTCTGGGCCTGGTCCCATATCCTTCAAATGCGGAAGTTTAGACTAGATTATCTCTGAGGTCTTTTCCTGCTCAGACATTGTATGGTTCAACAAATTAGGCTATAATATTATGATGAGAGTCAGAATTTACAGCAACATTTTGCTGAAGGTGGCCTGGCTGGCACTGGTTCCTGAGAGTGGATTGTGTGTATCAGTTCTTAAATTGGTAGTCAGTTCTTAAATTGGGTCAGGATGGCAGCTTGAAATAGGCCATAGTAGGAGTATTTACACCACAGAAATTGGCAAACACTATGAAGTGGGGCTCCCCCCTACCCTCCACAGAGAGCTGGTTGTTAAGCACTTACCCGCATGCCACTTACTACAAGGAAAGAAAAAGTTTTTGTATGCTTTGGTGCTCACAGCAGCAAATAACTAGTAAAGCTTAAGATGAGAACGTGCAATATTTGTCTATAATGTACGGAGGACTGAGGGGGAAGAATTAGAAGTTACTCCACTCCTAGATCCCAGGTGCCCTGGTCCAGTGCTAAGTTATAGTAAATGGGCCCCTTGTGGCATGAAGGAGTTAGTATCTCTTCCTCAGTCACTAATTTACCTGGGCTTATTGTCCTGTTGTGCTTCTGGTGCACCATTTTGTAATTTAATTAAAACTGGAGGCTTGAGATAATGGGCTGGTCGTGCCTGCAACCCCACCCTGGGTAAAAGTTGGGCCCCTGGGAGCAGGAAAAAAGGTCTTCCAAGGCACCAAGTGATCAGGAGCAGTCGTTACATTATTCCAGTTAATCCAAATGAAGTAGTTACCTAAGGCCCTGACTGATCTAGCCAAGTGGGACCTGTGGCTTGGAAAATGTTTAGAGATTCTGGACCAAGGGATTACCCACTTACTCATTCTCACCATTTAGAGTGTCTTCTCCAAAGCGTATTTTGAGATACAGCACTTCCTTGGTATGCTGGTAGCAATCCTTCCCACCCCAAAATACCTCATGGTTAAATAAGTTTGGGAAACACTGAATTTAACAAAGATAAACAGGTTATTTATGGCACTACTCCTCAGACATTTTCATAAATTAAAGTAGTGCTTCTCCAACTGTCTGTGGTGATGGATCAGATTTTAAAATTTCTATTCAATGCATGATTTGGAAATCAATACATCCTATTGCCCATTACTAATAACAGCTCTTGTCTTGTGCACTTATTGTGCAAGTGTGGACATTCAACCTGGTCTAAATCTTTCAATGAGATGAGTTCATGGCTATGCACTTGGATGACCCAGCAATGTCCAATTGCTATAAAAGTCTCTAGTTGGGAGTGAGACCGGCCCTTCGGTTTGCACGGGAGCCGGGTGAGGCCTGTGACTACTGGCTTTCCTCCACTTCCCTGATAACCTGCATGACTCAGCAGAGGAAGCCATAATCCTCCTAGGTACACAACTCTGGTGACCCGAGAGTCTCACCCCCATTCTCCACAGCAGCTGCAGCAAGACCCGCCCAAGACAACCTGAGCTCAGACACACCTAGCCCTGCCCCCACCTGATGCTCCTTCCCTACCCACCCTGGTAGCCGAAGGCAAAGGGCATATAATCCTGGGAGTCCTCACCCACTGCTGGTCCCTCTCCATACTACTACAGCTGATGCTTTCTGGAAAGTGCCACCTCCTGGCAGGAGGCCAACCAGCACAAAAATAGAGCATTAAACCACCAAAGCTAAGAACCCTCAAGGAGACCATTGCACCCTGTCCCCACCACCACCTCTACTGGAACAGGCACTGGTATCCATGGCTGAGGGTCCCATAGAAGGTTCACATCGCAGGACTCTGTGCAGACAACCCCCAGTACCAGGTTAGACTTCCTAGGTGGCTAGACCCAGAAGAGAGACAACAACCACTGCAGTTTGGCCCACAGGAAGCCACATCCATAGGAAAAGAGGGAGAGTACTACATCAAGGGAACACCCCATAGGACAAAATAATCTAAGCAACAGCTTTCAGCCCCAGACCTTCCGTCTGACAGAGTCTACCTAAATGAGAAGGAACCAGAAAACCAACCCTGGTAATATGACAAAACAAGGCTCTTAACACCTCCTAAAAATCACACTAGTTCACCAGAACTGAATCCAAACCAAGAAGAAATCCCTGATTTACCCGAAAATGAATTCAGGAAGTTAGTTATTAAGCTAATCAGGGAGGCACCAGAGAAAGGCAAAGCCCAATGCAAGGAAATCCAAAAAATGATACAAGAAATGAAGGGAGAAATATTCAAGGAAAAAGATAGCTTAAAGAAAAAACAGTCAAAAATTCAGGAAACTTTAGACACACTTTTAGAAATGTGAAGTGCTCTAGAAAGTCTCAGCAACAGAACTGCACAATTAGAAGAAAGAAATTCAGAGCTCAAAGACAGGACTTCAAATTAACTCGATCAAACAGAGACAAAGAAAAAAGAATAAAAAAATGTGAACAAAGCCTCCAAGAAGTCTGGGATTATGTTAAATGACCAAACCTAAGAATAATTGGTGTTTCTGAGGAAGAAGAGAATTCTAAGAGTTTGGAAAACATATTTGGAGGAATAATCAAGGAAAACTTCCCCAGCCTTGCTAGAGACCTAAACATCCAAATACAAGAAGCACAAAGAACACCTGGGAAATTCATCACAAAAAGATCTTTGCCCAGGCACATTGTCTTCAGGTTATCCAAAGTTAAGAGGAAGGAAAGAATTTTAAGAGCTGTGAGACAGAAGCACCAGGTAGCTAATAAAGAAAAACCTATCAGGCTAAGAGGAGATTTCTCAGCAGAAACCCTACAACCTAGAAGGGATTGGGGCCCTATCTTCAGCCTCCTCAAACAAAACAATTATCAGCCAAGATACAGCCTTTTTCAGACAAACAAATGCTGAGAGAATTCACCATTACCAAGCCACCACTACAAGAACTGCTGAAAAGAGCTCTAAATCTTGAAACAAATCCTAGAAATACATCAAAACAGAACCTCTTTAAAGCATAAATCACACAGGACCTATGAAACAAAAATACAAATTAAAAAGCAAAAACAAAAGACAAAAAAACCAAAGTACACAGGCAATAAAGAGCACAATGAATACAACCGTATCTAACATTTCAACACTAACATTGAATGTAAATGGCCTAAATGCTCCACTTAAAAGATACAGAACCTCAGAATGGATAAGAACTCACCAGCCAACTACCTGCTGCCTTCAGGAGACTCACCTAACACATAAGGACTCACATAAACTTATAGTAAATGGGTGGAAAAAGGCATTTCATGCAAATGGAGGCCAAAAGAGAGCAGGGGTAGCTATTCTTATATCAGACAAAACAAACTTTAAAGCAACAGCAGTTAAAAGAGACAAAGAGAGACATTATGTAATGGTAAAAGGCCTTGTCCAACAGGAAAATATCACAATCCTAAATATATATGCACCTAACACTGGAGCTTCCAAATTTATGAAACAATTACTAATAGACTTAAGAAATGAGATAGACAGCAACACAATAATAGTGGGGGACTTCAATACTCCACTGACAGTACTAGACAGGTCATCAAGAGAGAAAGTCAACAAAGAAACAATGGATTTAAACTATACCTTGGAACAAATGGACTTAACAGATATATACAGAGCATTTCACCCAACAACCACAGAATACACATTCTATTCAACAGTGCATGGAACTTTCTCCAAGATAGACCATATGATAGGCCATAAAAGGAGCCTCAATACATCTAAGAAAATTGAAATTACATCAAGCACTCTCTCAGACCACAGTGGAATGAAACTGGAAATCAACACCAAAAGGAACCTTCAAAACCATGCAAATACATGGAAATTAAATAACCTGCTCCTGAATGAGCATTGGGTTAAAAATAAAATCAAGATGGAAATTAAAAAGTTCTTTGAACTGAATGACAATAATGACACAAACTACCCAAACCTCTGGATTACAGCAAAGACAGTGCTAAGAGGAAAGTTCATAGCCCTAAATGCCTACATCAAAAAGACTGAAAGAGCACAAACTGACATTCTAAGGTCATACCTCATGAACTAGAGAAACAAGAAAACACCAAACCCAAACCCAGCAGAAAAAAGGAAATAACCAAGATCAGAGCAGAACTAAATGAAACTGAAACAAACAAACAAACAAAAACCCACAAAAGATAAGTGAAACAAAAAGCTGGTTCTTTGAAGAGAAAATAAAATTAATAGACCATTAGCAAGATTAACAACAAAAAAGAGAAAATCCAAATAATCTCACTAAGAATGAAACTGGATATATTACAACTGACATCACTAAAATACAAAAGATCATTCAAGGCTACTATGAACACCTTTATGCACATAAACTAGAAAACTTAGAAAAAAATGGGTAAATTCCTGGAAAATCAAACCCTCCTAGCTGAAATCAGGAAGAATTGGGTACCTTGAACAGACCAATAACAAGCAGCAAGATTGAAATGGTAATTAAAAAATAACCAACAGCAGAATTCTACCAATCATTCAAAGAAGAATTGGTATTGATACCAATCCTTTTGACACTATTCCACAAGATAGAGAAAGAAGGAACACTTCCTAATTCATTCTATAAAGCCAGTATCACCCTAATACCATAACCAGGAAAGGATATAACCAAAAAAGAAAACTACAGACTGATATCCTTGATGAACGTACATGCTAAAATCCTTAACAAAATACTAGCTAACTGAATCCAACAACATATCAAAAAGATAATCTGCCATGATCAAGTGGGTTTCATACCACGGATGCAGGGATGGTTTAACATACACAAGTCAATAAATGTGATACACGATATAAACAGAATTAAAAACAAAAGTCACATGATCATCTCAATAGATGCAGAAGAAGCATTCAACAAAATCCAGCATCACTTTATGATTAAAATTCCCAGCAAAATAGGCATACAAGGGACATTCCTTAATGTAATAAAAGCCATCTATGACTAACCCACAGCCAACGTAACACTGAATGGGGAAAAGTTGAAAGCATTCCCTCTGAGAAGTTGAAAGCATTCCCGTTGAGAACTGGAACAAGACAAGCATGCCCACTCTCACCACTCCTCTTCAACATAGTACTGGAAGTCCTAGCCAGAGCAATCAGACAAGAGAAAGAAATAAAGGGCATCCAAATCAGTAAAGAGGAAGTCAAACTGCCACTGTTTGCTGATGATATGACCATTTACCTTAAAAACCCTAAAGACTTCTCCAGAAGGCTCCTAGGACTGATAAAATAATTCAGCAAAATTTCCAGATACAAGATTAATGTACACAGATAAGTAGCTCTTCTATACACCAACAGCGACCAAGTGGAGAATCAAATCAAGAACTCAACCCATTTTACAATAGCTGCAAAAAATAATAATAAAATACTTAGGAATATACCTAACCAAGGAATTGAAAGACCTCTACAAGGAAAACTACAAAACACCACTGAAAGAAATAATAGACAACACAAACAAATGGAAACATGTTCCATGCTCATGGATGGATAGAATCAATATTGTGAAAATGACCATACTGTCAAAAGCAATTACAAATTCAATGCAATCCCTATCAAAATACCATGACCATTCTTCACAGAATTGGAAAAAACAATTCTAAAATTCATATGGAACCAAAAAAGGGGCTGCATAGCCAAAGCAAGACTAAGCAAAAAGAACAAATCTGGAGGCATCACACTACCTGATTTCAAACTGTACTATAAGGCCATGGTCACCAAAACAGTGTGGTACTGGTATAAAAATAGGCACATAGACCAATGAAACAGAATAAAGAACCCAGAAATAAACACAAATACTTACAGCCAACTGATCTTCGACAAAGCAAACAAAAACATAAAGTGGGGAAAGGTCACCCTTTTCAACAAATGATGCTGGGACAATTGGCTAGCCACATGTAGGAGAATGAAACTGGATTCTCACTTCTCACCTTCTAAAAAATCAACTCAGGATGGATTAAGGACTTAAACCTAAGACCCAAAACTATAAAAATTCTAGAAGATAACATTAGAAAAACCCTTCTAGATATTGGCTTAGGCAAAGATTTCACGACCAAGAACCCAAAAGCAAATACAATAAAAACAAAGATAAACAACTGGGACCCAACTAAACTAAAGAGCTTTTGCATGGCAAAAGGAACAGTCAGCAGAGTAAACAGACAACCCACAGAGTAGGAGAAAATCTTCACAATCTATACATCTGACAAAGGACTAATATCCAGAATCTACAACAAACTCAAACAAATCAGTAAGAAAAAAAAAAAAACACAACAATCTCATCAAAAAGTGGGCCAAGGACATTACTAGACAATTCTCAAAAGAAGACATACAAATGGCCAACAAACATATGAAAAAATGCTCAACATCACTAATGATCAGGGAAATGCAAATCAAAACCACAAAGCAATACCACCTTACTCCTGAAATGGCCATAATAAAAAAATACAAAAGACAGTGGAGGTTGGCATGGATGTGGTGATCAGAGAACACTTCTACACTCCTGGTGGGAACACAAACTAGTACAGCCGCTGCAAAAAACAGTGTGGAGCTTTCTTAGAGAACTAAAAGTAGAACTACCATTTGATCCAGCAATCCCACTACTGGGTATCTACCCAGAGGAAAAGAATTCATTATTCGAAAAAGATACTTGCACATGCATGTCTATAGCAGCACAATTCATAATTGCAAAATTGTGGAACCAACCCAAATGCCCATCAATCAACAAGTAGATAAAGAAACTGTGGTGTGTATATATATATATATATACACACACACATATATATATATATACACACACATATATATATATACACACATATATATATACGTATATATGTATATATATACATATATATGTGTGTGTGTGTGTGTATATATATATATATACACACACACACACACATACAATGGAATACTGCTTAGCCATAAAAAGGAATGAATTAACAGCATTTGCAGTGACCTGGATGAGATTGGAGACTATTATTTTAAGTGAAGTAACTCAGGAATGGAAAACCAAATATCGTATGTTCTCACTGATATGTGGGAGCTAAGATATGAGGACGCAAAAGAATAAGAATGATACAATGGACTTTGAGGACTTGTGGGGAAGAGTGAGAGAGGGGCAAGGGATAAAAGACTACAAATATGGTTCAGTGTATGTATACTGCTTGGGTGATGGGTGCACCAAAATCTCACAAATCACCACTGAAGAACTTACTCAAGTAACCAAATACCACCTGTACCCCAATAACTTGTGGACAATTTTTTTAAATGACTGAAAAAATACCTAAATGTTAATTAGGATGTAGAAAAATAGAAACTTTCATACATCACTAGTGGGGGTGTAAAATTATTCCAATGGTACCATAGAAAACTGTTTAGCAATTTATGAAAATATTAAATGTGTGTCTGCTATATTTAAAAAAGGTCTCTAGTTGCTCACCTTCATATTTTGTAACTATTTGCCATGTTATGGTGCAGTAGCAAACCATCTATGGCACAGTGCATAGGCCCAACTTTGAGTAGCGCTGTGCTTAAGTACCTGGCTGTGCCTCTTAACCAAATGAAGCATGGCTCTACTGCAGTAAGACCTGCTCCCTCTCACTGGAATTTCTGGGTTTGAGCTGGTCACTGAGCTGTGTGTCCAGCTGCTGTAGACAGTGCAGCTCTCTCAGGGCTGAATGTCCCAGGCATGTGGGACATTACCCCAGTACAGCAAGAGATGAATTTCCAGAGTCCAGAAAGGACTCTGATCGAAAACACCTGCTGTCCTGGGAAGTAGTACCATCTCTGGAAAGGGTCCAGTAAAAACCAGACAGGTCCTTAAACATAAAGGAAACAAGGGTAGCCCTGGCTTCCTTTCTGTCTTCCACAGACTCAAAAACAAAAATACAGAAAAGGTACAGTAGCCTTGGGGTTTGACCACTATTAATTATGAGGGGCACGAAAATGGGAAGTGCTTCGGAAGCAACTGAGATGGTCTCTGGGGAGCAATTTGCCCACTCCCATGTGAGGCCAGTGAGCCACAGCTTAAGGATCACATGTGTCTGTTAGACTTGGGCAGCCCTCAGCCAGGACAGAGGCAGCAAGGCCCAGACCCAGCTCCCGACTCTAGCATTATTTCTCCACAGCTTGACAGGTGGGTGCCTGGGCAAGCATCTGCCCCCTCTTTTTCCTTCCCTTTTCTTGTCTTGTGCTCATTCTCCTCATGCATCCTCAATGGACGTCAAGTGTAAATAGAAGGCTCCGACTCCCAGGTCAGGCGGCTGTCAGGGGTTCCCTCCTTCTCTCTGAAATGCTCACTGTCCCTGCCAACTCTTTATTCTGTACCTGTCAGAGCTGGCTCCCTCCAATGTCTCTATGGACAGATTCCCTCCTCAGTGAAGAGTGTCAGTGACCCAAGAAGTCCCTGGAATCAGGCCGTCTCTCAGAGCAGAGACGGTTTCAGCTGGGGGTTTTTCCTCTCCCTTTCACCAGTCCAGCATTTAGCGTGAGGAACTATTTATGCATGAGGTGGGCCTGGGTGATAGTTATGGGGAAAGGGGTGCTGTGGAAGGATTCTACCAGATACAGGATGCCAGCGTCATCCCCAGTGCCACATCTTGCTACATTCCTACTATTATGGCCCCCATACTGGTCCAGACAGAGCAAGACCCTGGGAAGGTTGGGCATCAGGTAGAGTTGGCTTTTGAAGTCTCCCTCATGTCAAGTGGAGATGTCCAGCCAGTGTGTGAGGAGGGGTGATATGATTTGGCACTGTGTCCCAACCCAAATCTCATTTCCAATTGTAATCCCCAAGTGTCAAGGGAGGGACCTGTGATCTCCGTGTGTTGAGGAAGGAAAGTGATTGGACCATGGCGGTGGTTTCCCCCAAGCTGTTCTCATGATAGTGAGTGTGTTCTCACAAGATCGATGGCTTTATAAGTGTTTGGAAGTTCCTTCTTCATGCTTCTTTCTCCTGCCACCTTGTGAAGAAGGTGCCTGCTTCTGCCATGATTGCAAATTTTCTGAGGCCTCCCCAGCCATGCGGAACGGTGGGTCAATTAAAATTCTTTCCTTTACAATTACCCAGTCTCAGGTAGTATTCTTTATAGCAGTGTGAGAATGGACTAATACAAGGGAAGAGGCAGGTCATTTGTTGACACCATGGGAGTTGACACCATGGGAGTTGTGGTAGAGATTTCTGAGGCAGGCTGTGTGGATCTGAGGCGAGAGTCTGAGAGAACACCCAGTTAGCAAGAGGGAGTAGCAAGAATTTGGAAAGGAGGCTGGAGGGAGACCTTAGAGGAGTAGAGCGGAAACCAGGAGAATGTAGCACTTCATCAGGTCAGAGAGGAGAGGATCAACAGTGTTGTGTTGCCAGGAGATCAAGGAGGCTCAAGCCTGAGGAAGGGAGATGGTTGGTGATTAAGATAGATCCCGAGCACGGTGGCCAGGCATGGCTGTGCACACTGCACACCCCCAGGGGGAGTCGTCTACACCCTCGTCTGTGGGATGGTGACCCCTGGAGTTGTGTAGTGTATAACTTGTGTGGCTACTGGAGACACCCTGCTCATGAGAATCTTATCAGCCTAGGGGTGAAGGAAGAAGCCCCATTATGAGCTGCTGAAGTGTGAGCAGGAGGCATGGTGGAGCTGGAGCAGTGAGGGTGATCTGTGAAAGGAGTTTAGATGTGAAGGAAAGAAAAAGATATAGTGGCTGGAAAGCATATCTGCCTTGAGGGAAAACAACCTTATTTTACACTTGGAAATCTGAGCATGATTTAGCCAAAAGCAACAACAGCAACAACAGCAACCCCACTAAAGTAGGAGAGAGAACAGATAAGGGAGAGCGAAGGGAGAGAGGAATCCATCCATTCAGAAAGCAGTCTTTATTGCCAGCCTCCTGAGTGTCTTCTCATCGTGTGCTGGAATGTAGCTGTGGAGACAAAACAGCTCCCGCCCTCACGAAGCTTATAGTTAGTGACCAGTGACACTATAGATAGGGAGTGAAGGGTGGGTGGGGCGGCGTTGGGTTTGTGGGGCAGGGCAGACTTCTCTGAGGAGGTGACCTTTGAGCTGAGACCTGGATGATGAGAAGGAGCGCACCCTGTGAAGACCATGGGGAGGAGCGTACCTGGCAGAGGCAGTGGCTGGTGCAGCAGTTCCCAAGGTCAGGCAGGAAGATCCCAGCCTGGCTGGGTCAGAGCTGCAGAAAGGGCTGGGTGGTGAGCCTGGGTCAGGCAGGGCCTCTCAGGCTATGGGAAGATGTTTCCATGAGAGTACCGTGACATGTACTCCTCTCTTATGGAGGAGAGGTCACCTACACATGTCACTGTACTCTCATGGAAACCGGAACCTATTGGCTTGGGATCCTCTTGAGATCTGGGATAATCTCATGGCCTGGGATTCTCTTGAGGGTCTCAGTCACCTCCCTATCCTGGCATAGAGTGAAATAACTGAGGCTTGAATGAAAGTCTTCCTCCAAGTCAGCCATCAGAAACATGCCTTATCTGAGTCAGGAAGAGTTTAAATTCATGGCTTCGTAGGAAGGTCTGTGAGTCAGGCCCAAGCTCAGGGCGTTTCTACAGGCCCTTACACATGCTATGTATGTGGGGACAGGGGTGGACTGAGGCATTTCAGTAGTCCTGAGTCACCTCACCCACATAGACACCAGCTGCACTAAACTTTCCAGGTTGATGAGGTTAACTCTGAAGCCCTCCTGCCATTATTTCTGGATCCCTGAATTTCCCTGCAGTGTTCTTTCTCTATCCACACTGTTCGCCTGCTACATCTTGCTGCTCAAGCTTCTTCTTGGGGTACCCCCTTAGCTCAGCTTAAAAATTACATCCCTTATTTTTTAGCCATTCTCTCATCCTCATAAAAATTTCTATCTCCTTAATGCAGACATTAGCAAGAAAGCAATCTAATTGAAAAAATTCATGCTAAGGTGTTGGTATCACCATCACACTCATGGGGGTATTTGATTGTTGAAAAAAGAAAGATATGTGCCCAGATTACAGCATTTACTCAATGCATTGAGGACACACATGTTTGCCAAGGGATGGGCGTTAGAAAGATAAGAGAAAGGTTTAGGAATGGTAAGCCTTCCCAAATCTCCTAAAACCTTGTGCCTAAGGCTAACTTTGTTTCCAGATCCCAAAAGACAGAAAAGACAGTCCTCCACATTTGCAAGCCAAGATCAAGGTAGCTTGATGGTCTGAGGACAGGATAGTTACAAAGCACAGTTAGATTCTTAAGGTGCCTGCGTGCCTACCATTGGGTCAGCCCCAATCTGAAACCAGCTTCTCCGATTGGGGTTAAAATAACACCAAAACAAAACAAAGCAAAACAAAAAAACAAAAAAATAAACAAGGATGAAGCAACATATGTTGGAAACCTACGTGTATGTTATTTTATTTACTCTTCATCACAATCCCATGATCAGATTGTATATTGTCCCATTTTCCAGATGAAACTGAGGCTCAGAAATATTTAGTGATTTTCCCAGGGTCATGCAAATATACTTAAAGCACTGGGATTCAAACCAGGCCTGTCTGACTCCAAAGCTCCATTCCTCCTCCTGTGCCTCAGGGTTAAAACTCTATCCTAAGGCGGTGGCAGCTGTCCCGGCCAGGGCATTCTGAGAGCCACTTGCAGCTCTTCCATTTACCAGGTTGAGATTTACTTCCTGTCTCTGGGCTTCAATTTTCTCATCTAGAAAACTGGGAGACAGACGAAGTTCTTTGAGGTTCCCTTGCAGGCCTAAGCATCACCGTGTTGGGTGATTCTTCCTTTGATAAGTCAGTGTACAGCTCATTTGATGTGCAAATGTCAAAATGTCAGCAGTGCCATGAACCCTTGAGCATTCGGCTCCTTAGAGAGAAGCCTCTTGAAGGGCGGCAGGAGGTGGGCCACCTTGGACCGGCAAGTCCACAGAGGCCTGGAGAGATGTGGTGCACAGGAGAGAGGTAGATCCTCCAGCTAACCCTGGGATTTCCCGGGGAATGGGCATTTGTGTACCTCCTTGTGGACAGGGCCTGAGCCCATGGCCCGATGATCACCTGAGTTTTTACAAGGTGGTTGAGAGTTTGGGTGTGTTTTTCCTCTCTCCTTTTGAAAACCAAGAGGTCAGCGTGAGTGTAATTCTGACACATGAAATCTGCTCCTTGTTTGGAAACACCCTTTTCAAATAAATCTTGAGATGGGATTAAGAGAACAGTTTTGGCTCGTTTTCAGGACTGTCATCTGTTGAACATCTCCCAGCTCATTTGAAGGAAGTGACAGAAGAGAGTGAGATTTCAAATCAGGGAAATTGGCGACAGGCTCTGCTCAAATTGGCCTCCCCACCTCCAGCGTGCAGCCCGCAGAAAACAAAAGCTCCGGAGTAGGAAAGTGACACAGCGCCACCTCCCGGTAGCCTGGCCGGCCAAGGCCTCTGGCTTAAGCGGGCCTCTGGCCTGCCAAAATGCCTGGGGAGGGAAGAGCTGTGTCTCTGCACTCATAAGATGGGAACAGGGGGGTTCTGGGAGCTCCAAACGTTTCAGTTCACAGTGTGTGCAGTCGTGTGTCTTGCGCATACACACATGCACATAGACAGCCAATTTGAACACCGAGGATTAACTTGTCTTAAAGGGGCAACTCTCTCGTCCATCTACTTTTAGGCAGATTTTAAAGACGATCATAGTAGTTAGCATATGGACTTTGGAGCCTGGTTGCCTGGGTTCAAATCTCAGCTTGGCACTTAATAGCTGTGCAACCTTGGCCAACTTACTTAACCTCTCTGTGTCTGTTTCATCTCCTACAGAATAAGGATAATAAGAGTATCAACCTCAGAGGATCACTGCAAGAATTGAGTGGGATACATATGACGTGCTTAGCACAGTTTGTGGCCCATGGTAAGTGCTCAGTATGTATTAGCTATTTTTGGTATTCAATTAAATATAGCTCACACATTTTTTTTTTCTTCTTTACACCCACCTGTTCGGCCATTTCTAACTGCCTGTTGGCTTATACATCCTATGCAGATGTTTCTGGTTCAAGGAAGATAATGCTAAATCCACAGTTTTGCTGAAATAATTGACCCTACCCAAACGCACACCCTAAACTGAATGAACTACTTGGCAGATTTTGAGAAAAATCATCCTTGGGTAACTCCCATGTATTTTTTTTGTTTTTGTTTTCGAGCAGCCTGGCTGTGCAGTTGGGGCAGTTGATGCTTCAGAGTAAACCCAGGAAGGCTTCATGGGCCTGTGGATGATACATACAGCACTCTCAAATGTTGAGCTTCAACTCATGAGGCAATATTAGTCCTGGATTTTCCTACATTTGTCTGTAGATTGCTCCAGGGACACTGGCAGATGAGGAAAGGGTTTCATTTCAAGCCTTCCTGCTACATTTGAGCCAGAAGGTCTCTGGGAAGCTCCTTCATGGGGCCAGACTTGGGATGTGCATCCATCTTGATGGAAAGTTCTCCCAACCTAGAGAAAAGATGGTGAGGCAACAGGCTGCCAAGGTCAGAGGCTGGTCTTTCCCAAAGTCAACCGTAAATCAAAGCCTCCAAGGTGACCGACCACGTGTCACAGACACCAGCTCTGCAGTCTCTGAGCGGGTGGCACAGGGCTTGATGACAGGAGGCCACCCCTTCCCCAGCCCATCTGCTGCTAGGGAAGACCAGCGTGTGGGCTGTTCATTGCCACCAAGGAGGTTTTCCTGCTGTTTACTGAGGTTTAACTCTCCTTGTAAAGGAGGGCCTGGCCCAAACATCTGTTTCATCAAAGGGGTTGGAGTCTTGGAGACACAAAAGCTTCTCTCAGTGGCTCCATTCTATGGCCTTTATCGCTCCCAGAGTCGTCCTATTAATATGCTGAAACAGCCATGACTTTGCCACTATGAACGTGTCTAGGGAGCACAGCCAGGTTTCAGGGTGAGGAAGGAGAGAAAGGGAGAGTCCTTTGAATCCCCTCAGACTTTACACTTGGCTTCCTCTTATGGGTAAGACTTAACCATGACTCACCTGTTTTAGAATGTTTTGTTAGCCAATCCCTGATTTGCTTGAAACCTCCAAAGTCTCAAGAAAATAGCCTCAAGGGAACTTGGAGCTAAGTCGCAATGTCTCAGGCCTAATAAATAAACTGCATATGAGGACAGCACATGATCGAAAGAGCAAATGCCAGACCGGGAATCTTCAGGTCCAGCACTTGGAAGTCACTGGGATTTTTGCAGAAAACCATGAAGCATTAACGTTTTAAGTTTAAAGGATTAAATAGATAATTTAGGGCTACATCTGACTGTGGAGCCCTGGAGTCTCCTGCTATTTATTGGCTATTTAACTCTGCAGTAGTTACTTCACGTCTCTGAAACTCCATTTCCTCATCTGTCAAAGGGACGGAAAATACTGGGGTGAGGACTTAATGACAAATAATATGTTTTACTCCCTCTAGTGCTTGGCACGTAGACACTCAAACAATGGTAACCAAGTAACAAAAGTTTAAGAGAAATGTGTCAGAGAAGAAGCTAACTTGAGAAATGCTTTTCCATTGAAATTATTATTATTTAAAAAGTTTTGTTTTTGTAAATTGGGAAAAGAGTGCCACAGCTTGATGATAGTGGAGTGGCAGACGTGTTGTATGGCCCGGCTAGGGCAGGCGGCCCTGATATATGCAGCGGTGTGGCTTCCTGTGCTAGGTTAGGGTTCTCAACCTTCTCTACCTATGACAACACACCTATCCAGTGGCATGAGGTTGCCCAACCCACTCTCCTCATTGATGACAGGTTCGAATCCTAGCTCGATCACTAGCTTTGCATTATCTTGGGCAAGTAAATGAGTGATATGAATAGTACCTACCTTCCAGGTTTTGGGGGGTGGGTGGGTAACTGTGATTATGTAGATAAAGCACTGAGGACAGTCTTGAGCACAAAATAAATGCTCAATCCAAAAGAAAAAAATGCGTTCATGATTTCTGTATGATTTTCAGCCCCAGCTATAACCCCGTCTTTTTCACTCAGGGAAGCAATTTGGAAAATAACACTGTGATAGGGATACTCTTGAATCTGCTCAAAAATTGCTAAAACTCATTCACACATAGATTTAATCATTATCAGTAACAAATTATTTGTGAATGACTTCATAACTGTTGTAGATCACAAGTCCTCAAACGCAAATGGGTGCCATACTTTTCTCCAGGCTGCGTGAAATCTGCATTTGCTTCAGGTGGCTGCTGTAACAAATTACCACCAACTTGTTGGCTTAAGCCAATACGATTGTATTATCTTACAGTTCTGAAGCTCAGAAGTCCTAAATGGATGCCAGTGGGCTAAAATCAAGGTGTCGGCCGGGCTATGCTTTTTCTGCAGGCTCTAGGGGAGAATTGTTTGCTTGCCTTTTCCAGATTTTAAAGGCTACCTCCTTCCTTGGCTTGTGGCCACATTCTGTCTTCAAAGCCAGCAATGGTCAGATGAGTCTTTACTCCTATGCCATCTCTCTGACTCTTCTCCACTTAAGATGCCTTGTGATTACACTGAGTTCACCCCAATAATCCAGGATAATTGCCCTATTTTAAGATCAGGTGATTAGCAACCTTAATTCCATTTGCAGTTTCTACTTGCCATATGATACAACAGATTCATAGGTTGTAGGAATTAGGATTGTGGACATCTTTGGGGTTGGCAGCTGGGGGCGGCAGTGGGTATGGGAGGGGCATATTTTGGCAACCACATGGGATAACTTTGAATCTGCCAAAATTACTTAAAATTCATTCACACATATTGTTGCTTTAATCATCAGTAACAAATACAGTGAATAACTCCACAATCAATATTGATAAGAGGGCCTCAAATACGGTGGGGGCCATACTTTTCTCTAGGCTACATGAAATGTGAAAAGATAAGATAATATGGCAATTTTTAACTGAAAATAAACTTACTCCATTTAAAGGACTATTCTTTTGGTATTAAAATGTTGGCAGCAGATGATAGTTGGCTTTTAAAATTGTTGACGTACTTGTCAAATATAAAAGTTAGTAAGTCAGTCAAGACCCAAAGGCTTTCTGGGAAGGAGGGGATGTTGCTGTTTTGTGCAATCAAGGGCAGCAGCCATTACGACCTTCCAGGAGGCAGGCCTCCAGCCGACAGTGTGCAGGGCCACAGGACTCTCAGAGCCTTTCCCTTCTCCATACTTTTCCTTCTCCATTCTTCCCAGGGTTTAGAGAGCTTGGAGCCAAAGGACTGGGATCTGAACCCCTCCTCTGACATGGGACAATTCACTCCTCAGTTTTCATCCATAGAATCAGAATGACAGAAAACCCAGCCTGCTCTTCTCACAGGATGGCAAGGAGAACCAAACTAGAAGAGTGCAGTAAAGTGTAAAGTGCTGTACAAATGGGGATGGTTGTTTTTATAGCTGAAACTTACACTCTTAGTTTCTGGATCTTTCTATAATGTTTATTGAGTGGGTGAGAGAAAATGATGAAGGCCCCAGGGGGTACAATTAAGCCTTTAGGGAATAGCAGTTAGAAAAATGCCATTTTCCTCCCTAAAAACGAAAACAAACAAATCTTTAGGGTTTTTTTTTAAATGGTAAAATACACATAACATAAATTTGTCATCTTACGCATTGTTAGGTGTACAGTTCAGCAGTGTTAAGTACATTCATATTGCTGTGCAACCCATCTCCAGGACATTTCCATCTTGCTAGAAGGGAATTCTGTGCCCATGGACAACAACTCCCCATTTTCCACTGTCCTCAGACCCTGGCAACCATCACTCTGCTTTCTGTGTCTATGAATTTGACTAAGTACCTCAAATAAGTGGAATCACGCAGGATTTGTCTTTCAGTGATTGGCTTATTTCACTTAGTGTAATGTCCTCAAGGTTCATTCATATAGTTAGTCTGTGTCAGAATTCCCTTCCTTTTTAACACTGAATAATATTCCACTGTATGTATATGCCACATTTTGTTTATGCATTCATCTGTCCACGAACAACTTGGGTGGATTCCACTTTTCCGCCATTGTGAATGCTGCTGCTATGAGTGTAGGTATACAAATATCTTTTCAAGACCCTGCTTTCAATTCTTTTCGGTATGTACCCAGTAGTGCAATTGCTGGATCATACGGTAATCATATTTTTAATGTTTCAAGAAACCGCCATACTGTTTTCCATAGTGGCTGTACTATTTCACATTTCCACCAACAGTGTACGAGGTTTCTAACTTTTCTATGTCCTTACCAACACTTGTTTGTTTTTTTTGACAGTAGCCATCCCAATGGGTGTGAGATAGTCCTAATTTTACTTTTTTAATCACAAAAGTAATACTAGCTCATAGTAAAAATGTTGAATAGGTGCAGAAAGGCAAAGAAACAAAATTCACCTACTTGCTCCTTACTTCCTCTTACTTCTCAGAGATAGCCACAATTGTATTGATGTCTACCTATTTCTATAGCATACATGCCATTCCATACTTTTAAATTTTCACTTAATAATCTATCTTGGACGTCTTTTTATATTAATCCCTATAGATTGACCTCATTCCTTTTCACAACCACAGAATATTCCAATGTATCAATGGACTATAATTTAAACAACTTCTCAACTTCCTATTAGTGGACACTTAGTTGATTTTCAGAACTTTAAAAAAAAAAAAACAGCAATGAGAGACCATGTAGCAGCAATGATGAGTACAGAGCATGAAGCCCAACTGTTTTGGTTCAAATTCCAACTCTGCTACCTAGCAGCCCTCGAATGTTGGGCAAGTGATTAACCCTCTCTATGCTTCAGTTTTCTCATCTCTAAAATGGGGATGATTATAACAACTACCTCTTAAGGTTACTGCGAGGGTTAAATGAATCAATGTATGTAAAGCTCCTGAAGCAGAAGGTGTGGTGTGCATCAGCTGTTACTTGGTTTTAATCAACCTCCTTGGACATATATATCTTTGTGCATTTTTCTGAGTATTTATTTTATTTTATTTTTTCTTTAACTTTTACTTTAAGTTCAGGGGTACAAGTGCAGGACTTGCAGCGTTTTTTACATAGGTAAATGTGTTCTGAGTATTTATCGTAGGACAAATTGTTAGAAGTCAAATCGCTGGGCCAAAGGGTATAATTTTTTTCTTTCCACATAGACTTTTTTTTTTTTTGAGCAAAATGGTCATTTTCTGGGAGGCTAAAATTGTACAACCTGTGGTGTGACAAATTTGAATGCCAAAAAGTAGCAAATTGTCCTCCAAGAGGGTTGCACCAACACACTAAGATGGCCTTAAGACCCCCAGGCTCTGTCACTTCATGGTCCTCATCACTTTACTCCTGTTTCTGAGTCAAGTCTGTCTTCTCTTCCCTGAACAATGGCCTTGTCCATTACCCCTTTCAGCCCAAAGGGAAGAAATTGGCAGGGAGGGATATGCCAAGCCATGCCCTGGGGCCCTGTTGTGATTGTGGGCCTGGGCCAGGCACTTCCTACTTTGTTGGTAAAAGCTGCTCTGTCTGGGCCCCAGCTCTATCGCTATGTCCTTCCACATGCACATCCACAACCATAGCGAGAAGCCCGGGCCCCCCACCCAGTACCTCTTCCTTCTCTTGAGCCTTAGTCTGATGTCCCTGTGGCCCCATCATAGGACTGAACTAAATATAATGATGCATTAAAGCCTACCAAGCCACTCTGAAAGGGGATCTCATTTTCTCAGGCCCTGTTGGTCTAGTGGTTCTCTCTAGAAATATATCTTCATTGTATTTGTTGATTCCAAAAGCAGTGCATACTCCTTGTAAAACAAATCAAGCAATACAGAGGAATGAATCAAGGTCAAAGCAAAAGTTTCCCATTATCTCATGTTCCCAGAAATAATCACTGTTAGTAGTTTGTTAAATATTCTCCCAGACTTTTTAAAAACATGCATATTTAAAAATGCAATTATATTACATACATTCTATAACCCTCTTTTTTCACTCAACAATGGACATCTTTCCATGTCAATATGTGAATCTATTTTATCTTTTTAAATAGTTGCATGATATCCTGGAAGTCTCTTTTTCTTGGCCTTGGTTTCCTAACTTTCAAAGGGTTCATTCCCCTTTGAGGAGGTGTGTGGCATGGTAGAAAATGTATCAGACTGGGAGTTGGAAGATGGATTCTTGACTAAACTTACTGTGTGCCCTTGAGCAAGTAACTTGCTTTCTCTCTGTTAGAAATGGAACAGGATTATACATGTGAGAGTACAAACCTACTTTAAAATACACAGATGCGCCTGTAATCTCAGCACTTTGGGAGGCCGAGGTGGGAGGATCACTTGAGGCCAGGAGTTCGAGACCAGCCTGGCCAACATGGTGAAACCCCATCTCTACTAAAAATACAAAAATTACCCGGGCGTGGTGGTGGGCGCCTGTAATCCCAGCTACTCAGGAGGCTGAGACAGGAGAATCACTTGAACCCAGGAAGCAGAGGTTGCAGTGAGCCGAGATCGCGCCACTACATTCCAGTCTGGGTGACAGAGTGAGACTCCATCTCAAAAAACAAACAAACAAACAAAACCAGATGTATTATTCTCATAAGACCAAAATTAAGTCTGGGTTAGATGAGGACTTAACACAAGATGGTCTAGCACTTGTATGGTCATCATGGCTTTTGGTGATCGCCAGGGGAGAGCTGCTTCTGTTTTTCCCAACAATAGAACTGTCTGAAGACCATGGGGAACCCAGACCCACACTTGCTGGGTGTCGCACTAGAAGAAGAGCAGAACTTATCTGCCTTGCAGCCTTGGTTCTCAGGGAAGGGTGCTGACCTGCCCAAGGTCAAAGCAGGTCCAGAAAGGCCACAGTCCTGGCTCGGTGCTCTCCCAGCTCCTGCATGTAGCCTGTCCTGTAGAAAAGAGAGGATAGATCTGGCCAGAGCTGGGGCTGTGGGCAAAGAGGACTGGATGCTCTCTTGGCAACATCATCCAAGGCTCAAGGACCAGGTACCCTCCAGGGGGAGTTGGGGGAGGGTGCTGGTCCAGAGATTTGGAATCTGGTACTTTTCTGCCTCTAACTTTGGTCAAGTCACAGTGGACTTTACAGTTCTTATCTATAAAATGAAGGGGTTGGGAGGTATGATATCTAAGAACTTTCATTCATTGGTTCAACCAATATTCAACCAACTGCCTGCCACTAGTTAGGCACTGTTCAGCCCTTGAAGATGAAATAATTTTTAAAAGTGAACATTTACATAGCATTTACTATGCCAGACACTGCCTTAAGAATTTATACATAATATAAATATAATATAAAAGATATTATAATTATTATACTATGATTATATCAATATATTATAATTATAATATTATATAATATATTATAATATAATTATATTATTATAATTATTTTATAATATAATCATAATTATAATATATACATAAATGTTATATTATATATCTAATCATTTAACCCTTAATCTTTTATGACTCTATAAGGTAGGTACTATTAGTATTACCATGTTGTAGATGAGGACACTGAGACAGAGAAGTCAAGTTCCTTGTCTAAGTTTACAGAGTGAATAAGGAGAGGAGCCAGGATTGGAACCCAGCACCCTAGCTCACGGCTACACTCTCAACCTCTAGGGTCCTCACCCTCATGAGACTCACAGCCTAGCGATAATGCTCCTCCCATTTATTGAACACCTACATGTTCATCTATACCAAGCATGTTACACTCCTTGTTTCATTTAATTCTTATAGCAACTCCATGAGGGAGAGAGTAATACCCCATTATATAAATGAGAAAATTAAGGCTCCAAAAGGCCACAATGCAGCTTATAAGTGACAAGGATGGCACTTGATCCCAGGTCTGTTTAACTCCAGAGTCTGGGCTGTGAAACACTGTGCTGTTCTGTTCTCTAATCCAACCTTTTGACATAGCTGAAACTGAGACAAGGCCTGGGGGTCTGAGTCTGGGCAGCCATGGGCTGCCTGGTCGTCCCTGCTGGCCTAGGTGGATTTTCCTCTGGGGCCTGGGTTCTCTCACTCGCTGGCTCTGGGGTCCTGGGGTCCGCAGGAGACGGAGAGCAGGCTCCCCTTTCTTAGCATCCCAGGCTATCTCCGGGATGAACTCCTGCTGTAGCAGCCTCAAGTGGACATGGAGAAGAGGCCACTCCCATGCTGTGGCTTCAAAGCCTCTCCCATGGGCTATTGCCGAACATTCCTCTGTTGCTTCTTATAAGTCACCAAGCAACCACCCCACCCAGAAGAGTTGCACTTCGTCTCCAGTGTAAAAGGCCTCCTTAGACCTCTTCCTGAGATGAGAGCAAGTTCCGGGGCTCAGGCCCTAAGAGTCCTGCATAGACTCCCAGGGAAAGGGGAGTCTTTTCTCGAACAAGGAGCTGTACGGGTGGGCACAAGTTCTGATCCCACTGAGGGTTTCAGTAAATGTTTGGATGAACATAGGGATGGATAAATTATCTAATGGACTAATGAATGAATGAATCAAAATGAACTCAGAAATGAAAGGATGCACAAAGAAATGAATCCATCAGCCTGTGAAGGAATGAATAAGCCCCAGGGCGGCCCTGTGGCCTCAGCCTCAGTCTGGGTCCCCAGGTGAGCACTTGAGTGAAGGGAGGAAGTTTCAGAACAGGACAAAATTGCAGCATCCATAACTCTCCCATCTGAGATGCCAAGAGGAGGAGCCCCTGGCATCTCCTAGGCATTCCCCGTCTGGAGTCCTCTGGCAAAAGTGTCCCTCACCTGCCCTCTCTGCCATGAGGACTGGCTTAGAGGGAAGCTCAGAGCTCCCTCCCATCGGTGCCCAGTGGAAGGAGAGCGGCACCAGCCCGGTGTGAAGGAAGGGTCCTCACCCACTCCCTTCCCCCTCTGGGAAGCCACACAGAACTCCAAGTTAATTAAAGCCTCCACTCTGAGAAGAAGGGAATGTTCCATTTGGTAAATTTAGAAACAGCTGGTTAGTTTTACCCATTACTTTTGTGCTAACATCAGTGGAGCTCATTCAACTCTGTCTTTTTATGAAGCTGTCCTTCCAATGCTACCTGATAGCTACTAATTGCTGCAACTACATTTCTGAATTGCAAATTTTCTGCACTGATAAAAACTTTGATTGCCTGTCAGCTACACATAAGGAAAAGATCAGCAGTGCTAAATGAGGGGTTCCACGCTTGGATAATAATGCCTAATGAATTATTCAGGAAAGAATGCTTGAATGAAGCAAACAATTTGAAGGGTTACTAGCAGCCGTAACAGTTCAACAGGCAAAAGAACAAAAGTATCATCCTGAACATTACACTAATGATTAAAAAATGTGTATTAATTCTAGATTTGGAGAAAAAAGAAATGCCAATCTGATTTTAAAGGTTAATCATTATTTTCTCAGTAATGCTCTGATCTCTGGTGGGGAGGGTGGTGATGAAGGGGGAGAACCCTTTACCAATATTTTGGGATGTATAATATTATGACATAATAGAGTCATATAATTTCACACACGTCATTTAAAAATTGTAAATTTCAAATTTCATTGGAAAAGATAACGCAAAAAACTAACAGCGTGGGAGCAGAATGCTCACTTGAGAGAACTTTGCTGAGTGCAGGCTGAACCAGCGCCAAGGACCCCCTCCCTGAAGCGAGGGGCCCTGCAGAAATGGCAAAATGAAATAAGATATATATGTGATTAAACATATGCAAATACATATCATAATTAGTGACTCTTTCTGGCGGAATCTGAATGTGTTTTACATATTTTGCAAGTACGCTGTTGATGCAAATGAAAAATTCTTTCAAAAGCTTCTGCCTATTGGGTCTGAAACCCTAGAAAACAAACCAATAAATCAGGTTTCAGCTTCTGTCCGATACTGACACATTTGCTGCTTTCATAAAAAATATATTTCTACCACCCAAAGTGCTAATTTGTTTTGACAGATGCTGTGGAGTTGCCAAATATGAGGGGGTGGGGGGAATCCTGGAAACTGTAATGCAAAATAGTATAATTAAAGATGTTAAAAAATACGAATGTAACTACTGTGATATTACGATGTAACTGAATATTTAAAAATAGCTCTTCAGGGTTGTGCTTAAAAAATCTCCAGGCAATCAAGATCACCTGGAGAGTATCTAAGAAAGCTGTGGTGTACGTGTGGAACTGGAGGAATTTTAAGAGTAGTTTTAAATTATGGAATATGCAGCCGACCACTTAACAGCCTCAATGAGATTTTTTTTTCCAGCTTAAAAGCCCATGGTATTAGACATCAATTAGTAATTTTATTATAAAGATGTTCAATGTCAAGATAACACTCTTCGTTCCTGGCATTGATGCTGCACAGTGGCTTGGAAGTCTGACTTCAGGAGAAGAGCTGACCATCTGCCAGAGCCTGCACACTCACAGATGACTAATGTTTTCCCCGGAGGACTGTGGCTCCCTGCGTTTCTGTTGCTGTCTTTTCGATATCAAAGCAAGGCTGATAAACACATTCAAGTCACAATTAAAAAACATTTTCGCTGACCAGTTGCCACCGATGATATCATCGGACAGCTTCGGTCACTGTTGTAACAACGCATTTCATGGTGTTGATGTGCAGGCAAGATGAAGTTTCCCTTTATTTGGTCCTTAACCTAGCTCTGCAATTCTTTAACGACATTTCCAGGCACTTGGAGTCTTGCATGGAAATGCCATTTGGTCTAAATCAGGTAGAGAGACACAGGGAGAATGCTGGGATTTTTCAGGCCAAGGCCCCATCCAGGAGGATCCATCTAAGCTGGGACTCACTGAGGGAGGTACTTTGTAGGGGGTTCAGACCAATGCCAGTCAATGAGCTTTTTGACTGTTGCTACCCTGCGTTGTCACTAAATTCAACCTAGAATGAAAAACAGAATGCTATACATTTTTCTGGATATGAAAAAATCAGATTATCCAGCTGTGACGCCTAGAAGCTTTATAGAAAAGTCATAGACACTTAGTTTAAAGCAAGAGTCATCTAACTGGACCTCAGGATATTTTTGCATGATGAATGGTGGGAGGAGAAATTGGTTGATCGGAGCATCTACTACCACTTGTTAATCTCCATGCTAAACACTGTTCAGGTATTTTATGCAACTACACATGCCACTCCACAACAAACTAGGAGGTATATAGTATCATTTTCTCTATTTTACAGAAGAAAAAGTTGATGCCTAGAGAAGTTATTTACCCAAAGTCACACAATGGTAGCACTAGGATTTGAGCCCGCATATGATGTCAAGACTTACGCACTTAATCAATCAGCACTACACCTTTAGGGTCACAGAGGAGGCTGTTAGAGCTGGAGGAAGACTCAGAGGTCATCCATTTCCTTATTTTGCAGGAGAAACTAGGGCTCAGAGATGTGGAAAGGGGAGCCCACGTCATGTTGCTAGCTGGTGTTCGGGCTTAACTGGAGCATCATGGGTATGAATTCTACTTGGTCTTACCTATGAGCCACCTCAGGATTTCCTGGGCTTTGTCCAGCCTTGCCTGAGAGTTCTACACTTCCCTCCGTGGTCTCAGCATTTTCAGACTCTGAGAGTCCTGGGACACCGCCTGGGTCTTGTATCAACCTCCCACACTTCACGGCCATGGAGTTCTTAGAACGCTATCTACCACAGATATCCTGGGCAGAGTACGTCCAGGACTCATGGGAGAATGTGCCTTATTGTTGGCTCTCTGAAGGGGAAATCTCCATGTTTCGCTTCAGAACAGAGTCAATGTGCCAACCAGGAAAGAGAGGGTTTGGGTTTGATAAGACCTGAAGAAAACTTGTTCTGCAATGGGGTGGTCAGCAGAGATGGGAAGTTGCCTGGTGTAGACAGAGCCCTGGGTTTTGATTTGGAGTCTTGGTCCTGCCACAAAGACAGTGTGATGAAGGCAAGTCACTTTGCTTCTCTGAGCTCTAGCTTTCCTCTGTAAAATGAAGAGGCCGAAGGCTGAACCCTGCCCAGTCTTCTATACCAATGTATTCGAGATCATTTGGGTCTGGAAGCCTATTAAGACCCAGGTCTTTCAGGACTTTCTCAGCAGAAGATTCTGGTTTTGGTTTCCATTCATGATACTTAGAGGCAGTCTTCTTCTCAATTAGAAATTCCAGGAGGAAAAGCAAAATGTGACCTTCTCCAGAGCCTGAGAAGTACCTTCTGCATTCCTTTTTTTTTCTTTTTTTTTAGTATTTATTGATCATTCTTGGGTGTTTCTCGCAGAGGGGGATTTGGCAGGGTCACAGGACAATAGTGGAGGGAAGGTCAGCAGATAAACAAGTGAACAAAGGTCTCTGGTTTTCCTAGGCAGAGGACCCAGCGGCCTTCCGCAGTGTTTGTGTCCCTGGGTACTTGAGATTAGGGAGTGGTGATGACTCTTAACGAGCATGCTGCCTTCAAGCATCTGTTTAAGAAAGCACATCTTGCACCACCCTTAATCCATTTAACCCTGAGTGGACACAGCACATGTTTCAGAGAGCAGGGGGTTGGGGGTAAGGTTATAGATTAACAGCATCCCAAGGCAGAAGAATTTTTCTTAGTACAGAACAAAATGGAGTCTCCCATGTCTACTTCTTTCTACACAGACACAGCAACAATCTGATTTCTCTATCTTTTCCCCACATTTCCCCCTTTTCTATTCGACAAAACTGCCATCGTCATCATGGCCTGTTCTCAATGAGCTGTTGGGTACACCTCCCAGACAGGGTGGCGGCCAGGCAGAGACGCTCCTCACTTCCCAGACGGGGTGGCGGCCGGGCAGAGGCTGCAATCTCGGCACTTTGGGAGGCCAAGGCAGGCGGCTGGGAGGTGGAGGTTGTAGCGAGCCAAGATCACACCACTGCACTCCAGCCTGGGCAACATTGAGCACTGAGTGAACGAGACTCCATCCACAATCCCGGCACCTCGGGAGGCCGAGGCTGGCAGATCACTCGCGGTTAGGAGCTGGAGACCAGCCGGGCCAACACAGCGAAACCCCGTCTCCACCAAAAAAATACGAAAACCAGTCAGGCGTGGCGGCGTGCGCCCGCAATCCCAGGCACTCGGCAGGCTGAGGCAGGAGAATCAGGCAGGGAGGTTGCAGTGAGCCGAGATGGCGGCAGTACAGTCCAGCTTCTGCTGCGCATCAGAGGGAGACGTGGAAAGAGAGGGAGAGGGAGACCGTGGGGAGACGGGAAAGGGGGAGGGGGAGGGGGAGCGGGAGGGGGAGGGGGAGAGGTAGAGGGAGAGCCCTTCTGCATTCCTTAAGAGCTTTCAAGTCATTCTTGGGTTCAGTCCTTATATCTGCTGGGAATAATTAATCTAGGACTATTCGCTTCAGAGCCCCGAGCTGTAACATGGGATCTCAGGAGCAACTGAAGCACTCAGCACTTTCTGAGGAAAATTACACCAGATGAGACACTAAATCTCTAAAATTCAACTTAGAAATGTGCTTTATTCTCAGGAGTTTTGTCGCCAAGTGCTGGTAATGGCAAGGAAGTGGGGGGTGTTGAGAAGAAGTGGGGAGAAACAGGGACAAAAAGAAGCCAAAACAGTCAAGAAACAGGAGACAAAGGAAACTCAGGCCAAGGCACAGCTGGGTGTTTCCTTTCTTCTAATTTCTGTCCTCTTTGTAAATGTCTGATTGCATCAAACTGTCATCAATAGTAGTCAACATTGATCACATTTCCACTACATGTCCAGCATGTGCTGAACACTCTACATATATTATTTCATTTAATACAACAACCCATTGAGGTAGGTAACGCTATTAATCTCCATTCTACAACTGTGGGACAGAAGGACAGAGATGCTGATAAACTTGCCCCAGTACACTTCGTTAGCAAGTGGCAGAGGCAGAGGCGGGAGTTAAACCAGGCAGTCTGGCTTTAGAACCCAGTGTAACCACGAGGCTCTCCCACCTTCAATAAAGTGACACCCACATAGATTACTTTGTCAGGTGTAGAATCCCTCACATTTCACACACACACTCAGTAAGCTCTCAACTGTGTTCCAGGCCTGACCACGACTAGGCTCAGAGAAGCAAAGGGCATTTCCCTTTGAATGACGTAACAGAATTTGTGTCATTAAAAAGCTGGGTCATTAATCAGATTTGTGCTTGGATGGATTGGACTCACCAGTGCAAGTCAGCTGCTGGATTTCTATGGTTTCTTTGCTCTATGGAAGCAAATGCTTCTTCTCTTCAGGAATGAAGAGCTCCTTAAAAGAATGATTTTTTAAAAGCTCATTAATCAAGGAGCACGGTTCAACTATAGAATATTTCCATTGCTCTAACCGCCCAGTACCATCTTGTCCTCTCTAGCTCCAGATCTGCATCCTGGGAAGCCAGGAGGTATTGGTGGGGTGGGCAGCTGCCTGTTAAAATGCTGAATTGATTGCCACCCATCCAGCCCATTTCAGCGTGTAGACAGATTTGAACCTAAGCTAGGCAAGTGAATTAACCCTGTGTCCTCTTGGCCCCTCGGCCCTCTAGGCAAATTGTGAATCAAATGGAATCTCCCTCGTGCTAAGGGGCTGCAGAGCTGTCATTCCATATGCTTTGCTCAGGGTAAGGGGTCTCTGGAGAGAAGTTAATGAGCAGGGGCTCCCAGGGCAGGGAGAGTCCCATTACTGAGTTTCCTCAGCAATATGGCCACCGTGGAAGCAATGCATGCACTGGCATGTTTCTGAGAAAAGAACAAGATTTGTTATTTGTTTGTGTAATTTCTAAGCACACCGGTGAATAGCAGGAGACTGTCAACACCCAGTGGCCACTTTCCTGAGAAGCTGAGTGAGCCCTTCTGCTGTTGAGTGCACAAGGGGGATTTTCTGAGTGGAAATCTTTCCTCATTACTGCGCTGCCACAAACAAATGAACATTGGAAGAGTTCATGCACAGATAAGGGACATGTCTAGGGAACTGTGGAGAACTCATTACATCCCTTCTGATGGTAACCCTATAAGAAGAAGGAGAAAAGGGAAACAAACAAACAAACAAACAAAAAACTACTTTCCTGCCAAAGCAACATTCCCATCACCCCAAAAGTTTGTTGTGTCTCTTTGCAATGAATCCCCATTCCCCCAACCCCAGCTTCTGATCCACTGATCAATTTTCTGTCCCTAAAGTTTTGTCTCTCCTAGAATGTCGTACCTATGGAATTCTGTCTCGTTGAGTTGTGAGCTTTCCTTATAGATTCTGGATTCAAGCCCTTTATCAGTTATGTTTTGTGAGGGCTTCTTTCAGTAAAAATACCAAAAATATTTCAAGGACTTGCAAATAATCCTTTGTATAGTACTAAAGCATTCTTTGACACAAAAAATGTACAGTAACAAAAAATTGTTCTTTTTAAATCAATGCCTTAAATAAACTAGGAGTGTATTAATTACAACATAATCTAATGTATATATTTTTAAATCATACATGGCATTTACTTGAATAGGAAGTTTTCTTTCAGACCTCTTTTGGGAAGATGATAAAATACAATGATCCTTTTCCCCCTGCAAGTTGTCAAATAAACACACATATAAAATATTTGCATTCAATTTCAGAAGGTTCATAGATGCCTAAAATTCACTATAAATTACCTAGGGATAGCTCCATGGCCCTAAGATGAAGCAAGACTAATTGATTCGGTCCATAGACAAACGTAATGTACATGTTGGTTCAGGCATCCCTGCAACAGCTCTAGGGTGCCCCAGAGGCTCAGAGTCCACAACTGGGAACCCAGCATGGGTGGCCTCTGAGCTCAAAAAAATCTACAGTTCTCACTTCACTAGGACAAGGACATTCAGATACTTAAAATGACACATTTGCCCAGTGCTGAGAAAAAAAAAAAAATCCTTGGGAAAATCAGGGAAACTTATTATGCATGCTCTGATATTAAAAAGGACAGAGTGGGAAATATCCTTGCCTGGGATTGGTGAATCCAAGCTTCTCTTTTCAACCCTATCTGTTCATGTTTTAGGAGCTGAGTCTGTGTCTCCAGGTGAGGTGATTGGATCTGGTTCTGAGTCAGCTGGTCCAAGCTTGCCTTTTTTCCATGGGCCTCATTGCACACTTCTCTAGTGCTTCCCATGAACACACTTAATTGGCCGTGTGTCAGCTCAATTGCTGAGCTGATCTAAGTCATGATGAATCTTTCCTGCTCTTTGCCCCTGGCCACAGCTTGCCACGTAATTCTGTATCATCAGCACTCACCATGAATTTACATTTGTTCTTTTTTTTCTGGGTCATTTATAAAGCTGGAGGCAGAAAGCGCCCAACATATTGATTTGGAGGAATTGTGTTTTAGCCTTTCCACTTTCCTGTTGAAAATTAATAGCAAAAGCACACATATATTTGTGAAATTTGTGGATAGAAAAGGGGTCACTGTCAAGAGATACTTTGGGGAGAGATTTGGTGACGGATGGGGAAGCTGCTGAGAGACAAAGATAGGGGTCCCTGACGATTACTGGTTGAAAGGTTGCAGGAAAATTCCATCAACTGTGAAGATGGGAGTCAGGTGGAGAGAGAAATAGATCATGAGTCCATTTTTAAAAATGTTGAATTTTGAGAAGTTGGCAGAGAGATCCAGGAGGGAATTGGATAAAGAAATCTGCAGCTCTGAAATGAGGTCTGGGCTGGAGACAGAAATTTGGGAGTCATTGACATGTAGCCCTGAGACTGGAGGAGCTTGTCAACGGTTTTGTAGATGGTGCTTCAGGTTATAGACAATATGTTGTCTTCTTCCTTCAGAGCAGGCCACAGAATTGACTGAGATGTGTAACTTTCATGTCCCCCCATGAGCAAACAGCATGTTTCTACTCTGTGATGTGTATGTTAGGGGGCATGTATATCTGTATTTCTTTTTTATTCTCTCCAAAAGAAATTTCATTATGCAAAACATTATCAGGCAATGCAGCTCGTAATAAAGATGTTGGAGAACTGAAAAAGAGAGCTTACATGCACCCCTAATAGCAAAACTCTCCACACATTTCCAGCAGATGTATGTGTCCTTCCGTGGTCACCTTCTCTCCCACCATCACCTGTGTTTTTCTCCACTGCCACCCTTCCACCGAAAAAGCTTAGTTGTGCCTTTATTGTTCTAGACAGTTCAGCTCTGGCCACTAATTTGCGTATTCCTGTCAGTAAGAGAAACCTCCTGCAGTTAACCAGGCCCACCTCCTCAAAAGGGAGTATGACAGCAATAGCATTAATGTGGCATACGTCTTAGGGGAGCTCCCCCAACCTCGACTTTAGTATGAGGTGCAGGGTGGGATTACAAGGAAGGTTTCTCAACCTTGGCACTATTGACATTTGGGTCTGGATAATTCTTTGTTGTTGGAGAGGGGGAAAGTGCTGTGCATTACAGGATGATTAACAGCATCTCTGGTCCCTACCCGCTACATCCCTCTAGCACACTTTCACCCCATACCCCGCCTTCAGTTGTGATTTCTCAACTTCTTGGAATAAATCCCCAACTCTCTCATTCACAAATTTTGTGACTCTGGACAAATGATCTAGCCTCCATGTGCCTCGGTTTTCTCATCTAGAAAGTAGGGGTAATCATAATGCCTACTTCATAGCACTCTAGTGAAAATTAAATGATTTAATACTTCTGAGGGGCCAGGTGCCATAGCTCACACCTGTAATCCCAGCACTTTCAGAGGGTGAGTGGGGGGTGGATTGCTTGAGTCCATGAGTTTGAGACCAGCCTGGGCAACATGGTGAAACCCCATCTCTACTAAAAATACGAAACAGTAGCTGGGCATGGTGGTGTGCACCTGAAGCTCCAGCTACTTGGGAGGCTGGGCAAGGAGGATTGCTTGGGCCTGGGAGTTCAAGACTGCAGTGAGCCATGATTGCACCACTGCACTCTACCCTGGGAGACAGAACGAGACCCTGTCTCAAAACAAAACAAAACAAAACAAAAAAGCCTGTGAGGGCCTGCATATAAAAAGTACTCAGTAAAGGTTACCTCTTATTATTCCCAAGGACTTATCAAATTATTCCTCCTGATAGGAATAATTCTAGATAGGATTCTAGATAGGAATAATTCCAGATAGAATTTTCTACATAGAATTCTCCCCGATAGGTGCAGCAAACCACCACGGCACATGTATACCTAGGCAACAAACCTGCACGTTCTGCACACGTATCTAAGAACTTAAAGTAAAATAAAATTTAAAAGAATGTTCAAAGGAGATGATCAGAAATGAGTCTCCTATATCAAAAAGTGAACAGTGACAACCAAATTAAATTAGTCCAGGAGGAAAAAAAAAAAAAAAAGGAACTCTCCTCAAGAGGAGCTCTGGTGCATACAATTTTTTTTTCCAATTTGACTTAATAATTTTATTCTGAACCTCAGAATAAGTAAATTCAACTCCTGTTTTCAAAACAGGATTTGAGTGTTAATCCAGTTCCGTGAACAAAGATCAATTACTTTTTATTTTTTATTTATTTAGTTATTTTTAAGTATATGTAGGTAGTAAAAACCTAATGTTTGACATCAGGTTGTGCCCTTGACTCTAATCCTCTAGCCTACCTAAGGGTGAGAGCTTGTGCTTAAATAAAGCAGCTTGAACACACAGCCTATATGCAAAGGAAAACTGGGCATCCTCCTCCTCACCCCAGGAATGTGTGTGTGCAGTTGTGTTTCTACTGGAGAACTTTGCTCCAATTCTCCCACTAAATTCTTGATCTTCCTCTGACCTGGCAGCTTCACCTGCTCCTTGAGCCCTGCCTCCCACAATGAGCGATAGTTCTTTCCTTTGATGTCCCCAACAGGGGGTTGTGTGGGGGAGAGTTTTTACCGGTAATTCAGCAGGAGTGAATGGCGAACCACTAAAGATGAACATTACAACGTAGTTAAGCCTTGTTTTTTTTTTGTTTTTTTTTTTTTTTTTTTTTTTTTTGAGGCAGAGTCTCCCTCTGTTGCCCAGGCTGCAGTGCAGTGGCACAATCTCGGCTTACTACAACCTCCGCCTCCTGGGTTCAAGTGATTCTCCTGCCTCAACTTCTCAAGTAGCTGGGACTACGGGCATGTGCCACCACGCCTGGCTAATTTTTGTATTTTTAGTAGAGACGGGTTTCACCATATTGGCCAGGCTGGTCTCGAACTCCTGACCTTGTGACCTGCCTGCCTGGGCCTCTCAAAGCCCTGGGATTACAAGTGTGAGCCACTGTGCCCAGCCTAGTTAAGTCTTTTAGCAGTACTTATCCCCAAGAACTTCTCCCTGGCTATCTCCTCTCTCAGGTCCCACCTTCTTTCATCTTTCAGAACCCAACCCTCTGACCCTTCTCATCTCTCCCAGCTTTTCTTTGTTCCTGGGCTCACCACCTGCCTCCTCAAAATTCATCTTTCTTTACTCTGCAGAGCAATTTGGTTCCATTTGTTTCACTCCTGTGCCACAGGGAGGAACCCTAAGAAATATCCTTTTACAAAATGGCACCTCAAGGAACTTGAATTTTAAGAGACAGTTCTGATTCCTCAACCAGCTTTTGAGAATTTTTTCCTGCATATGCTTATGTATCTTCATATAATATTATAGAACACACAGCCCCATATCTCACCACCATTCTTTTATAACAGGGATTGT
Organism: Homo sapiens; assembly: GCF_000001405.40. Lineage (NCBI taxonomy): Eukaryota > Metazoa > Chordata > Mammalia > Primates > Hominidae > Homo > Homo sapiens. The sequence goes on from NC_000011.10 coordinate 31,978,415, forward strand.
TGCCATTTTTGTAGATTGCTTTTTAGTATTTTGTTTTCTTTAAAAAATCAACTTTATTGAGATAAAATTTTCATACAATAAATGCATTCATTTTAAGTGTGCAGTTTGGTGAGTTTTGACAGCTGTATATACCCATGAAGACATGACAACAATCAAGGTATAGAAAATTTGCATTACCCCCCAGAAGATGCCTAGTGCCTCCATATGGCACCCCAGTCCCCAGACAATTACAGATCTGCTTTCTGTAACTACAGATTAATTTTGCCCATCCTATAATTTTTTTTTTTTTTTTGGCAGAATCTCGCCCTGTCGCCCAGGCTGGAGTGCAGTGGCGCGACCTCGGCTCACTGCAACCTCCGCCTCCTGGGTTCAAGCGATTCTCCTGCCTCAGCCTCCCGAGTAGCTGGGACTACAGGCACGTGCCACCACACCCGGCTAATTTTTGTATTTTTAGTAGAGATGGGATTTCACCATGTTGGTCAGGCTGGTCTCGAATTCCTGGCTTCCTGTGATCTGCCCTTCTCGGCTTCCCAAAGTGCTGGGATTCCAGGCGTGAGCCACCGTGCCCAGCCCTAGAATTTTATATAATCAAATCATCTAGTATGAACTCTTTTGTGTCTAGCTTCTTATAGTCAGCATGACCTTTCTGAGAGTCATCCATGTTGTGTGTACCAGTAGGTCTTCCTTTATTGGTAAGTAGTTTCCACTGAGTGGATATATAAAAATTGATCTGTCCATTCACCTGCCAAGCAACATTTTCTGGCCTTTTTTTCCACATGCATATTTGTATTTAATCATTGTATGAATTAATGTAATTATTATATAGAGAGAATTTGGAAAGTAAAAACAAAGCAGAAAGAAGCAGAGAGGAGAACACAACCTAATTTTTCAATCAGTGGCAAACATGTTTGACACTTTGACATATTTCCTTCTCACACTGTTTTCTTTTTCAATTTTGCACATGTTTAAGTTAATGTTCTGCATATTACTTATATACCGCTTCTGTCTCTTAAGTTTTATATCATAAGCATTTTCCTAAAAGCTGTTAAAAAGAATGGAGTAGATGGTGCTGATGTAGAAATGTTGTCAAGATACAGTGCTAAGTTAAACTGCTGAACAGTATATTAAGTGTGATCACATTTGTAAGGGGACAAGCAGTGGATGTTTGTGAGAGGGAAAGTGAGTAGCTGAGTCAGACAGTTAACCTGAAGCTGGACTGTGGAAGGTCTCCACAGTCATAGTAAGGATTTTGGATTTATTTGGAATAAAATGGGGAGCTATTAGAGGGTTTTGAGGAGAGAAGTGATATGACATGACATGTGTTTTAAAAGGCTGTCTCTGGACAATGTTGAGAAAAGACTATTGGGCAACATGGATGGAGGGAGGCTAGGTTGGCAGCTATTGAAATAACCCAAGTGAAAGGTAATGGCGGTGGAGAGGATGGGAGATGGTGAGATTCTGGATGTATTTTAAAGGCATATCCCATAGACTAGATATGATGTGTGAGAGAATGATAAAAGTCAGAGATTATGCTAATAGTTTTGAACTGGGCAACTGAATGGATAAAGTTGCCATTTGCTAAGTTAGAGAAGACTAGGAAGTACAGTGTGGGGAGGGAGAGATGGGGAGCTTGGTTTAGATGTGTTCAGTTTAAGAAAGTTTTTATACATCCAAGTAGAGGTGGTGGTTGAGCAGCTGGATATATGAATTTGGAGCTCTGGGGAGTGAAGCAGGATGAAAATATAATGTGGAATTCATCAGCATATAAATAATATTTAAAGACCATAGATTGGATGCAATTACCAAGGTAAATGAGTTTAGATAAAGAAGAGAAGAGATCCAAGAACAAAGCTCTGGACATTCCACCATTATGAGGAAAGAGACATGAAAATAAAGCATCAAAGGGAAATGAGAAGGAGCAGCCAGTGAAGAAGAAAGAGAACAAGGAGAGTGTGATGTCCTGAAGACCAAGCGGGAAAGGTGTTTGAAGGAGGAAAGAGGGGCCAACTATATTAAAACGAAGTTGTTAGCAACTTAAGTTGAAGACTGAGAATTGGTGACTGGATTTAGCAACATGGCGGTCTTGATGATGGTCACAGCAGCAATTATGGAGGAATGGTGGGGCAGAAGCCTGGGTGGAGAGGGATCAGGAGAGAATGGGAGGTGAGAGCTTAGATGAGAACAAAAAACTTTGTTAAAAGTCTGTGCGATGGATTTTTTTTCTTACAAGAAAAGATGATTGGAACTAGGTTTACTCAGTTTTGAAAGGGAAGCTGTGTTAGTCAGTTCTGGCTGCTATAAAAATGTACCATAGACAGGGTGGCTTAGAAACAACAGAAGTTTATTTCTCACAGTTCTAGAGACTACAGGTCTGAGACCAGGGTGCCAGCATTGTTGGGTTCTGGTGAGGGCCCTTTTCTGAGTTGCACACTACCAACTTCTTGTTGTATCCTCATGCGGAAGACAAAGAGAGAGAGAGTTAGCTCTCTGGCCTCTTCTTCTAGGGGCACTAATCCCACTCAAGAGGGATCCACCCTCATGACCTAATCACCTCTCAAAGGCCTTATCTCCAAATACCATCACATTGGGGTTAGAGTTTCAACATATGAATCTGGGGGGACAAAAACATTCAGTCTGCTGCAGAAGTTAGTATGACAACTAGACATACCATTCCTCAAGAGGAAATAGACAAATTCTAGAAGGAAAAAGTAAGAAATACCAGAATGGATGGGAGTCAGAAGCTCAGCAATCCCAGATGCACTCTATCTAATTCATTGTATGATTTTATCAAGATTTGATCTCTCTAGACCTGTTCTTGCATCTGTAAAATGAACGTTTTGAACTAGAAAACTTCTGAAATCATTACATAATTTAAAATACTATGACATCCTCTAAGTATTTACAGATCTTTTACACAAAGCATTGCGAATGGTTTTTCCCCCCTCCCTCTGGCTGTTAATAGCTTTCTCCACAGGACCCTAACTCTATTCTTGACCCTTCCAAACCCGCAGATGACTTTGTCATCTTTTCTACCAAGAAGGAAGGTCATGACAGAGGAACATTCTTTAACTGCCTTTCCTTCAACTCGCAAATTCCTCATGCTTCAGGAGAAAAAGTTTCTCTTCCTTTCCATCTGTGCACTCATCCCATCACTTCCCATCCCTCTATACAGGTTAGAAATAGAGGGGGAGTGAATGAACTTGCTTTTAGTCCTTGGTAGGGAGGGGTTATTATACCCATTCTTCAGACAGCAAAACTGAGGCTCAGAGAGTATAAAATAATGCTGAGATTTACACCAGTGAAAAGGGAGGGTGTGGGGCTGTGACCCAGGTCTGCCTGACTCCTCAGCTCTTCTGTCTCACCACAGTCTCCATTGAATGGAATGCATCCATAAATGAATGGCTCATTCTTCATTTTTTTCTGTGCTTTTTTTTTTCCAAAGCCTTATCGTCTGTGTGCTGGTGTTATTGTTTATGTTGACCTGGCTGCAGGGGCCTCTTGGCAATATGCCCACCTGAAAGTCTGTTTACCTGCTAACTATTGTAATTTTTTAAAACTCTTGGCTTATATAGGGCTCTTTTCAATCATGGACTCGGACCTTTTAAATCCTAATGCCACCTATGCAAAAGAATTCACTAGTATGTTACCTGTTAAGTGCAGTTCAAAAATATGCAAAGCTAAATATGTTCAGGGGCATGTCTGCAGTAAAACTGTAAAGAAAAGGAAGAATGAGTCTGTAAGTTAGCAATTGCCACAAACATATTGTATAAGGAATTGCTTAAAACCTAGTGTCTTAAAGCCACAGTCATGTATTCTCACGGAGTTGGGGCCTGGCCAGGGGTTGGCTGATCTAGGCTGGCTTGGCTGGGGCAACTCAGCCCCACTCCACTTGTCTTTCATCCTCTTCCTTGAGTAGCATACTAGTCCAGCCATGTTCTTTTTGTGGTGATGGCAAAGGTGCAAAAAAGCAAATGGAATCATGGAAAGATTATTGAGGCCTGGGCTCAGAACAGACGTATCATTTCTACTTCCTTCTATTGGCCAAACCCAAAGATATGGGGAGATGTGCCTTCTCCACAGTGGGAGGTCTCTGTAGAGTTACATAGGAAAAGGTGTGGATACAGTAAAGGGTGAAGAATTGGGGCTGGCAATATAATCTGCCACAATAACAAAACACAAAATTCAGGATAGTGTTTACTGGTGGGCCGGGGGACAGGAGGTTTGGAATCAGGGAAAAATGCCCAAAGGGCTGCAATGAATCTGTTAATGTTGTGGTTCTGAAGCCAGGTTGTAAGTACATGGCTGTTTATTTTCTTGTTCTTTATAGCTTATATAATCTGTGTATGAAATATTGTTTAGAATTTTTAAAAAGTTACTGGAATCAGATAAATGAATAGTAGAAGTTGCAACTTTTTGACAGTCTCGCATTCTATATTATTTCAGCTTCATTGTTTAAATGTGTGTTTCTCTTTACTAATTTCCAATTTTCTAATTTTGTTGACTCTCACTTGCCAATACAAATAGTGGTTTGGTTGTCTGACATCTGGACATTAATATCATCTACATGCATATTTATAATCTTAGTATGCTGCTCACACTTTAAAAAAACCCAGACTTTACATTTTAACCGAGTTCATTTTCTTTAGTTGCTCTCAAAGTAAACTCATCTAAAACCATAAATTGTTGTCCTGGCAGTTATTAGTCTGGATTGATTAGGTTTGATCTGTGGGTTAATTTCACATGTAATCATATTATAGTTAGTCACACCTAGTGGCTCTATTAATTCAGATGTATTTGCACTTCCTTACCTATTAATTACAACCACCTCTGAAGACTGATTGGTTCTCAGCTACCAACAAAAAGCAATCCCCATATATCAGAGAACAAATTACTGCCTCTGAAACTAGGAGAACTTGGTTGGCTTGGAGGCTCTGTAGGAATATTATTGATGACATCTTTATTTTCTTCCTTCCTTGAAGATGAATGGTGTACCTGCTAAATGAACCAGCAATATCAAGGCCAGGTCTACAGTCTGGCAGAATTTGTTTGGACTATGATCTGGGAATGAAGCAATGGAAGAAGCACACATAGAACATCAATGCAAATTTTATTTATAAAGATTCAAAAACATGTATTTTGTTGAGGTCCACTTCATAAAACTTACTACTCTTTCTCTTTTTATTTGAAGACTATTCACTGCATAGATACATTTGGGCATAGATTAAATAGAAAATTGAAGCTAGTTCTGTACTTAATCAGCAAAACACAGTAAGCATACTCCAAGCTTGAATTGCCTGCTGTCCAAGTCTTATCCAAAGCCCTGCTGAGAGAAGCACTATTCAGGGAGCATTATTTGAGGGACATGTGGTTCTATCTGTTCCTCCATAAAACCTGTTCAAAATTTCTGCATTCAGTGGAACCCTCAGAACCTATGTGGCCCCTCGAAGCACTGTTTTCAGTGAGGTCCAATTTTGTGCATTAAGGTGCCAGCTTGACTTATAGACGAAAACTGCACTAAGCTTACTGTAGGTCTTTTATAAGGGACATTACAATCTACATTTCTTAGTAGGTGAAACCCCGCATAACAAAATTCTGTTTATTCTAGGTTCAGAGAAAAGCTCATCATCCCTTGAGCAACTCAGCATCTCCTCACAGAAAATCGAATCATATAACGGGTTGTGTTTCCGTTTTCATTCTGGCTACTAGGGAGCTAAACGTTAGTTTTGAAGCTCAACTCCGGTAACTGTTTACACTGTCACCATCGGCACACCTGCATTCTAACGCTCTTCTTTAACTCTAGTATTTATTTTAATTTATACTTTTGTTTGATTTTAGTTTTTGCTGATGGTTTTTAGACTTTGTTTTAGTTTTTGCTAATGCTGGATTTTATTGCATGTCTAACATTGAAGAACACATATGGGATGTGAATTAAATAATAAACATCAAGAGTTACCGTGAAGACATTAACCATAAAAATGTGTGGGTATGGCCGGACAGAGGTATGGATAGGGAGTTAGGCTGGGCAGCCAGCAGCCTGATATATGTACATGAGTGTCACAATCTTCACTATCACCCAAAGGCAGAGTCACTACCTTCTTAACAGGTAGCACAGTGCTCTTCCCTGTCCTCAAAGCCCGAGGCTCCTATTTCCTCTAGCCTGAGGCTGTTGCCCTTCCTACCCCCCATAACTCCAGAAAATCCCTGGGGACAAATTGAAGCCACAGCATCTAGCTGTTTTCTGTGCTGCCCTCAGGCCACTTCCACTAAATCTCTCCCTCTTTTTTTTTTTTTTTTTTTTTTTTTTGTGAGATGGAGTCTCATTCTATTGCCCAAGCTGGAGTGCAGTGGCATGATCTCTGCTCACTGCAGCCTCTGTCTCCTGGGTTCTAGCGATTCTCCTGCCTCAGTCTCCTGAGTAGCTAGGATTACAGGTACCTGCCACCACACCCAGCTAATTTTTGGAGTTTTAGTAGAGATGGGGTTTCACCATGTTGGCCAGGATGCTCTTGAACTCCTGATGTCAAGTGACCTGCCTGCCTTGGCCTCCCAAAGTGCTGGGATTATGCCTCCCAGGTGTTGAGCCACCAGGCACAGCCCACTAAGTCTCTCTTTTGACCTGCACAGAGTCCTTCCTCTCCATGTCCACCAGCTGGAGGTGGATCCAGGAGGGTCTTCTCTGCATGGCTGCAGGTACCCTTGGAAGTTCCGGAAGATGTGAAGAGTAAAGTACAGTGGAACAGCCACTGCAATACACTCTGATATGTTTCATCCAATGGGGGTGGCATTTACTGAGACACAGGGCTGGGCACTGTGGGGTGATGCATAGAAGAGACAAGGCTCAGCCTCCAGGTGCTACTACCCTGCTAGCAGCACAGCCATGCAACCAACTGTGGGACCAAGAGTGTTGTCTGTTCTCAACTTATAATATGTTTAATGTTTTTTTTTTTAGCACTGGGTACTCTTCGTCCGACAAGATGTAGCAGATTCACTTTAGGAGATAAGAGCAGAGCTGTCCTGGTTGGGTGGACTAGGCTTTCAGGCTTGCCCAGCTAAATGTCTCTGTGCTTCCAGCTCCTCCACTTCTGGGTAAATAGAACCCTGAGGTCCCTCAGAGAACAGCCTGAAAACCATTAATATGGCAATGTATAGCAGTTAACTACCTGGGTTTGAATCCTAGCTTTGTTACTCACTAGCTCTTGATCCTGACAAAGTTACTTAACTTCTTGGACTCTCAGTTTCTTCATCTGCAAAATTGGGACAGAAATTATGCCTGTTTCATTGGGGTTGTGAGGTTTAAATGAGCTCATGCATATAAAGTACTCAACATTAATTTAGTGTTACTACTTAGTCAATAAGTAATGAGGACTCATAAGCTATAGCTATTAGTCTTATTAAGGACTTATTGCTATTAGTCTTGTCACTGAACTGAAAGAGTTACTGGATTCAGTAAATGAGGGAGCTCGAGCTCTGTCAATCTGAGACCTCTCAAAGAGGAGATAATTTTTCCAGTCAGGGAGATGGTGTAAAAGCAGCCACATGATCAAGCTGCAAGTCAAGTATCAACAAATTTAAGATACTTTTTTCTTTAATCACAAAAATATCACATTCGGATTTTTCAAAAAGCAATGAAAACTCTTCCACGATAAAATTTTGGCAGGGTGATCTTCAGCAGGCCATTTGACCCCCTGAGCCAGTTCCCTTTTCTGAAGAACAGAGGCAATGAACCTCTGTTCTCAGAGTTTTGGGGAGGCTCAAATGAGGCTTGAGAGTGCCAAGCATCCTCCGAGCTGTTTGTCATCGAGCCCCAAGGAGCCCTTGGCACCTAGTAGGCGTCAGTAAATATTTGTTGCATCTGAACTCTTTCCATCTGGGAAGCCCTCCAATGGCCTGGAATCTCCAGCTCTCCCGCTAAGCAGGTCAGAAAAGCAACTTAAAGGATCCATTTTAGTGTCCATTTTCTCACTTTTCCCCCTGAAAAACCACTTACAAAGCTGCCAGCTTCCTCATTTGGCTTTTTCTGGCCTGGTTTCATCTTATTAACGGTCACTTCATTCATCAGCATAAGGAAGACTCCACTCTGTCAACAGGAGGGCAGGGCTTGGCCTCCAGTCACAGGGCAATGGCGGGGGTGGAGGAGCCTGGAAACAGCCATAGCGTAGGCTTAATGAATAAAAAGTTGCGGTTGAGAAGGCCCAGGATTCCCAAACAGCCTTCCCTCCACCCCCAAACAGCTGATCATTGGATAGTGAGGAAGCAGGTGCTCCTTCAGAAAACTCTGTTCATTCATTCATTCATTCATTCATTCATTCATTTAACTACTCATTCATTCACAACTATTTCTCGAGTGCTTATTATGCACGGGGAATAGAATGCTGAACAGAAAAGCACACCCACTCCCTGCCCTCATGGAACTTACAGTTTGGGGGGAGGATCACTCACATTAATCAAATGATCCTCGCCATCTTTGGGGCTATGGTGCATTCCAGGGAGGCTTCCTGAGGAGATGACCCTGATCTAAGATCTAAAGGAGACCTTGGAGGAAACGGGCTGTGGGGATTGGGGAGATGGTTCAAAGAACATCATATGCAAAGGCCCTACAGAAGGAAGAACGTTTTTGGGACACAGACAAGCAAGATCGAGAAAGTTCACTTGCTTTTGATGGGACCCTCAGGCTGGAGACACGCTGGTCACCAAGTAGCGCCAGGTGCTCAGGCAGAAGTCAGCCGACTCTGGGTTCGAGTCCCAGCCCCACTGCTGGTCAGCTCCTTCTTATACCTCAGTTTTCCAGCTGTAAAATGGGACTAAGGCCATTCTTGTAGGCCAATGGTGAGGATGGGAAATACGCACGTCATTACCCGATGGGACGGTGCCAGCTCCCCTCGTCCACCGACGTGGGCCCGAGCTAGGGTTCTGAGCCGGATCCGGGGGGAACCGCGCGTCTAGGGCTGGAAACCCGCCGCCACAGCGGGCTAGAGGTCGTCCCCGCCCGCAACATATGCGCGAAGGAAAGTGCTACGAACGTCAAATGGCCGCCCCCCGCCGACGCCATCTGCTCTGCGAAGCAGAAACGGCGGCAGCTGCGCGCCCAGTCCCTCCGCCCGCGCCCCGCGCGCCGAGTCCGGATCCGCCGCCCGGCGGCACCGCGGACAGCGCCAGCCCCGGGGTGGCGGGCGCGGGGCTGGGGGCGCTGGGAAGAGGGGTCCGCTGTAAGGCCCTCCCGCCGCCTCGGGGCCAGTCTGGGTCTAGCCACTTCACCTGTGTGCTTGAAATGTCAGTTCTTTACCAGCCAGGCTGCCGTTTGTTTGGCTCCGCCCTCCGGGGGCAAACCAAAGCACGGATAACTGGTCCCTGAGACAGATAAACCTGGGTTCTAATAACAGCTCAAAAACCAACCAGCTGTGTGGTATTAGGGAAGTCGCTTGACTTCTCTGGACCTCTGTTTTGTCTTCTGTAAGATGGGTATAATAAGCGCTGTGCCCTAGGGTTGCTAGGAGGATTAAATAGAAAGTTCTATGTGAAGTGTTTAACACAATGCCTGGCACATAATAAAACATAACTGCTAGCTAATTATTTTATTCAAAGCTTACTTTTCTAGGGCTTTATGGTTACTCGCTGGGTTTCTGTGGCCCCTTAAAATTTCAGCTTGCTCCCCATCCCCACTCTCCTGCATTCTTCTTCAAACGTGGATGAACAGGCCCAAAGATGCTGCAGCTTTTTGGAACATTTCACCACAACATTGGGAAATCCCTGGATTCCCCACACTCTCCTGGTCCTGAAAGAGACTCAGTTTGCAAATGTCTTTTGATGTTGTCCAGAACCATCCGTTATAACAAAGGCCATTTTCAAAATGGTAAAAGTTCACGAAGGGACTGGCTAGAAGAGTGGCTGGTGGGAAGGCAGGGTGGTAACAGAAAGTAGACTGAGAACAGGGAAACAAGAAAATAAAGAGGCCGGAGGTAGGGAGGTGGCTGCATTCATTACATTAAAAGTGGATCATTCCAGGATTTCATCTCAAGCAAAGATAATCAGAAGGCATGGGCTTTCGTTAACATTTTACCACTTAGCATTTTGGCTATGCTACTTTAGGCAGTTGAGTTCACAAATGTTCACTGAGTGGCTGCTATGTGTCAGGCGCTGTGCTAGGCTCTGGGACTAAAAAAGTGACCAAACCTAGACTGTGCCTTCAGGAGTTGATGGCCCAGTGGGAATCAGACAAGCATGGGTGGAATGGTAGGGGGTGCCTCAGGGCCCCAAAGAGAGGCCTATCAACATTCTAGGGGTTTAGTGGGAGTCACCAAGCTTTACCACACCTCATTTTCCCATCTGAGGCTCCGGGCTCACAATCCCCACCTGCAAGGCTTATGATAAGTAGCAGCTGAGCCTTTCTTTACTCCTGGAACCTGACCACCTACCCTGCGCCCCACCCCAAAAGCTCAGCACTCTGCTCTCCTTCAGTAGCCAAGCAGCTGCCACAACCTTGAAGACTAAAAAGAGGAAAACAGGAGAAAACGTTATATACAGGAAATCATTGCACAGCACAAGAGATGTGTATTACAAACCCCGACGTCGAAGGTCACCTGCCATACTCCATGGTGCTTAGGGTGCTAAACAATATGAATGGAAGATGATGATGGGGGTGAAGAGAAAGTGAAGGGGAAGTGGAGGGGCAAGAGTGGAAGAGGAAGATTTGTCTTTTATGGAAGAGCTGCGTCATGTTTATTATTTTAACAAATGTGTGATTCAACAAATATGTACTAAGCATATATTCTTTGCAAGAAAGTGAACAGATCAAAGTCCCTACTCTCAGGAACTTATAGTTTCCTAGTGGGGCTTCAGAGTGCAATCAAGTAACCAAAACATATGAAGTGGTTGGTGATGAGTGCTCTGAAGGTGATAAAATAATAATAAAGGGTTAGGAGCAACAGTGACTGCTGATTTATGTGGCATCTGAGCATGTGAATCCTAATATTCGATAATTTTTTGTCTGAACCTAGCCATCCTTTTGGCAGGGGGGAAGCAAATTATTCATGTCTAACTCTGAGTAAATATGTTCAATTCACCTTAAATTTTCTAAAACAGTCTTCTATTAGAACATATAGGCAAAATGAGCCCTTAAAAAACACCCTTAAACCTGTTCAGATTCAACTAATACAACATGTCAATATAGATGCTTCTAGAGTCTTTTCTATGCATATACTATATATATTTATATATAATTTAAAAGGGATCATTACATACTGTGTTATAATAATATTCCATGATAAACTTTCCTTACTGGCAGACATATTTTGGCAATATTATCTTAAATAACTCTATATTATTCATTGTATCTGTGCATCACAATTTAATTAACTGATCCCCTATGATGGAGCATTATTTTAAATAATGCCACAATGAATCTCTAAATATTTGCCCACATCCCTAGTTAATTTCACACTCACAGAGTCCTAAGTGTCTTCCTGGAGACTTTGGGACACTCTCAGGCAACAGAGGAGCAGAGAAGCATGATGGTGTTTTTGAGGGGAAGAGGTATCACCTTTTGGGGCCATCTCCCTGCAAAATAGGTAGCCCAATTCCTTAAATTTTGGGGCTGCTTTTGGCTTAAGTCTAGCACCCAAGACTATTTTGCACTAGACAAGGTCAACTTTTTTTTTTTAATTGTCAATTGGCTCATTGTCTTTATTAAATTACTTATATAATACAACTTAAGGGACCCAGAAGTGTGCTGCAAGCCTCTTGGGGCCACCACTTTTAGTGTGTGTGATCTGGAGCAGTTGTCCAAGGTCTCTGAGGCTTGTTGTTCTCATTCATGAACTGGGGATGATAATAATATCCCTGTCTTACAAAGAGTTATTGCAAGGAGGAAATGAGATGATGTGCATGAATGTGCCTATGCTAAAGCAGGAGGCTGCTTTATTCACAATAGCTGATGTATGCCAGGACCTTTGCTAAACACTTTGCATATTTAATCCTCAAGAGAGCTCGGTGGGGTAGGTATTATCACATCCATTTTATAGATTTAGAAACCAAGGCTAGAGAGGGTAAATAACCTGCTGAGGAAATCGAACTGATATTTGCCATCAAATCTATCTGAATTCAAAGCCTGTGCCTCAAACACTACTCCATCCTGCCTCCCCAGCTACACTTTAATTGGGTTACCAATGCAATCCAAATGTTCCATTAGCACTTTAGTATCCAAATCCCCATTACCGTAAGCCTCCACCAACTCATGTTATAAGTCCCGACCCCTGAGGCATTCGCCTCCCCTACTATTTCTGGATCTCTTACCAAGGACTGAAATGACTTTACCCAAATTAGTGCATGCTGCTATGTCTAGTCAAGTTGGTCTTCTAGAACCACCGTCCACAACAGGCCCATGGTGAGCTGGAATGTCCCACTGCCACTCAATTGTTGTAGCAGGTCTCTGGCAGTGTCTCGATGCCAAGGGGCAAGGATCCTGCTCTTGCTACTCCCATGTTGTAGATTACTCCCCAGTTACCCCTATTTGCAAAATGAGTAAGATTACCCTTGGTTTGCGTTATGTTCAGTTGAGGAAGGCAGAGATACTGCAGGAGGTAGAAGCATAAAGCAAGGGCTCAGTAAGTTTTCTACTTTTTTGAAGCTCTTTTTACTTTTTTCCTCCTGACTCAACTTTTGCCCCTCCCACTGTACCCTAAGCAGCCACCACATTTGTGTAGGTCATGCTGGAACCATGTTTCTACCAGCAGCTGGTAGGTAAACCTCCAATGTAAGCTGAAACTCTGTTGAAGTTTGACCTGGCCAATAATGTTTTCAGGAGATGGCTGGAGATGGTGTGGCTAAGTTAGAATGGGAATCCCACCGTGGGGGCTCCCAAGCATCCCAGAGTTGAGGGAGACCCTTTAAACAGTACACTTGTCATGGATCTTTCTCTTAGGGAACAGACATTCTGCCAAGATGGCTAAGTCAGAATGAGTTCTGATGTCAGCAGTTACCCTGAAAGCATCAGTCCCTCTGATCTTTAAGCTACTTGCTAAATATGACTCCATCATGAAAGATTTAGCCAATCAACAGGTCCATCGAATGCCTACTCTGTGTCAGGTGCTATTCCACTATTCTAGGAACTAAGATACAGTGGCAAAGAACATAGACACAGTTTCTCACTCAAGAAACCTAGAGACACCAGCTTTCCTTATGAAGGATTCTCCCTCTGTGCCTCTAATGTCTTTTCTGGCAACTTGGCTTCCATTAGAGCCCCTATAAATCTATCAGATATATATCTGTGTATCTCATAATCCCAGCTGTGGACCAAATTCCAGTTCTTTTTCTCTGAAGGAACTTGGCTCTCACTATACTTAAGGCCAGGGACTCTGGAGTCATACTGTCTGTGTTCAATCCTGACCATGCTCCTCACTTATTACTGACCTTGGACAAGCTACTTAACCTTCCGTGCCTTGGTTTCCTCATTTGCAAAAGGGGGTAATAATAATAGTTAACACTATCAAGTGTCTACCATATATGCCAGGCACTGTTCCAAGTGCTTTAGATGTATTAACTCAAGATTCTCACAACAACCCTATACAGTAGGCCCTATTAATACTCCATTTTACAGACAGGAAACTGAAAGACAGAAATGTCAAGCAATTGACAACCATGGAATAAATCTTATAAGATCTTTTAAGGATTTAAACAAAGGACACAGCAAGTGGCCAATGAATTGCTATTGCTATCATTATGAATGACAATTTTAAGTGAAAAAAGTAGGATACTAAGTACTAGACAGAGGCAAATTTTAACTGTGAAGAAAAGCACATAGAAAAATCTAGAAGGAAATATATTAAAATACTAACAGTGGTTGCCTGAGGAATAGTTAGATGAGTATAGGTGACGTTTTTCATACTTCTCAGGACTTTTTTGTTTTGTTTTTTCAAGACAGGGCCTCGCTCTGTCACCTAGGCTGGAGTACAGTGGCACAATCATGGCTCACTGCAACCTTGACCTCCCAGGCTCAAGTAATCCTCCCACCTCAGCCTCCCAAATAGACTACAGGCGTGCACCACCATGCCAAGCTAAATTTTGTATTTTTTTTGTAGAAACGGGGTTTTGCCATGTTGCTCAGGCTGGTCTTGAACTCCTGGGCTCAAGCAATTCACCCACCTCAGCCCCACAAAGTGTTGGGATCACAGGCGTGAGCCACTTCACCTGGCCAAAAATTTTTTTTAAATAAAAGCTTTCCAAATCTTTTACTATAAGTACATATTTCTTTAACGTTCACGAAAAATAGTGCCAGAAAACCTTGGAGAAAATAAACTCCAAAGCTGCTCCTCTGGCCTAATTTTTTCAGGGGCCATTCCTGTTGCCCCTGGTGACAACTTTATATTCTCCTATTTGAGGGTTCTAGACTCTGTGGCATTCCCAAGGCCATCTGACTTGGTGACCCCCATTCAGGGATAGGAGGAGGCCTTCATGCATCCTGCACTTCCCCAGTGAATTGCAGATCCCATTACTCACTTAGCTTCATTATATCTTTAATTATGACCTTTTAGTCTGAATGAAAAAGAAGTATAATTTTGCTTTAAGAGATATGCCAGGCCTACGCTCCCAACATTTCTAGGTTTCATAGAAATTGCAGCGATCATAGAAATTTAACCTGATAATTACTGCAATATTTCAAGGCACACGGTTTCCTACTCTCTTAGAATAATTATGGGTTGTTGTTTTTTTCTCCCAAATTCTTTTATTTCTTCATTATTAAAGGTTATACTAGTTTCCATTGTATGTGCCTAGAGACATAGGAAAATGCAGGGCATCCTTATCCACTCTGGTTCATAGCACCCTATTGTGAAAATATGTTGTCCTTTTATTTTCCCCTGTTATTATTTCTCTTAGACTATAAGCTTTATGTGGGCCAGGAAAACATGTATTTGGCTCACTCTGCTTACAGCGCCTAAAATGGGACTTAGTACACAGCAGGCATGCTGTAAGTATCTGTTAAATGAATGCCCAGACAAATACATTTAGAAACAGATAAACTAATTGCATTTGTGAATTGTAAAGCAACCTTGGTGTCATCAAACTCCTGTTGAGAGTCCGCTCCGGAAAGAAAGCATGGGTCCACAAAGCTACAAAGAAATGATTGCAGCCAGAGGGGTTTCAGAATTCAGGAAGTCCAAATTTTATAAAGAATATCTAATTTAATTTCCCAGCAGCAATTGGGACAGAACCTCACGATCAAACAAGCAAACTGATATATTTTTCTGTGAAAATGTATGAGTATTTACATCAAATGGGACAAATAAAAACTAGAAGTAACCTCAAGTCAGTTCAGAAGACTTTTTGCTGCTGAATAATTCAGGTCAAATCCAGGTCTACTGTTAAATAAGTTAGAAGAACTTGTGGTTTTCAGAGCTTTTTGGAGTTTGGAATTGTAGGTAAGGACCCGGGGACCTTTAGGAGTCAGTAGATCCAAGTGTGTGCTTTAGAGCTGGCATTGTTCCATCTAGGTCCACCACTTCTTGGCTAGATTCTTGGGCAAACTGTTTACATTCTTTGTCTTCTGTTTTCTCATCTACAAGTAAGAATCATAACATGACCTAACATACAGGGTTGGTAAGAGGATTTAAAAGAATTGACACATAAAATCTGACCCCATAATAAGTGCCCAATAAATATTAGCTACTGACGTATTACCTTATTTCATGAAGCAAACAGCTTGTGAGACAGGTGTTATATTTTGGTTACCTGAAAGATGAGGAAACAGAGAGCGGGGCAGGTTAAGAACTGGCCCAGTCCAGGTGGCTCATGCCTATAATCCCAGCCCCTTGGGAGGCCGAGGAGGGAGAATTGCTTGAGCCGAGGAGTTCAAGACCAGCCTGGGCAACATAGAGAGAACCCGTTTCTACTAAAAAAAATTAGCCAGGTGTGGTGGCATATGGCTATATTCCCAGCTATTTGGGAAGCTGAGGTGGGAGAGTCACTTGAGCCTGGAAGGTCAAGGTTGCAGTGAACCATGATTGCACCACTGCGCTCCAGCCCGGGTGGGAGAGTGAGACCCTGCCTCAAAATAAATTTTTTAAACAAAGGTAGGAAACAGTGGCTCGTGCCTGTAAATCCCAGCACTTTGGGATGCTGAGGCCAGGAGTTTGAGACCACCCTGGACAACATGGTGAAATCCCATCTCTACGAAAAATATAAAACTTAGTAGGGTGCAGTGGCCCATGCCTGTAATCCCAGCTACTCAGGTGGCTGAGGCACAAGAATCTCTTGAACCCAGGAGGCAGAGATTTCAGTGGGCTGAGATCCCACCACTGCACTCCAGCCTGGGTGACAGAGTGAGATTCTGTCTCAAAAAAAATAAAAATGAAAGTATAAATAAAAAGAACTGACCCAAAGTTACACAATGGGGCAAGAACAGGGCAAGGATTTGAAACTGCACCTGCAGCATCCTGTCCACTACACAGGCCCACCTAAATTCTTATATCCCATTCAATATTCTTTTATCAGTGCTTACTCTGCTTTCCCTCTTCCAGCACAGAAATTTTGAGGAAAGACATGAAAAGCCCAGGAAAAATGGAAAGCGTTTAGATGCACATTTTATTAGCAGGTTCACTCTCTCCTCTCTCCTTCTTTCTTTCTCTTTTTGTTAAAAAGCAAGAGGCAAAAGAATTTGGCACCATTTCCATCATGTTGATTCTTCTGGGTTTCTCAAATGTTGTGATCCCTGGAAAGCCGGGATTCATGCTTACCTCCACTCTTCATTAAGGCGGCCGTGGCTGTGAGCTGGGGAAGACAGGCTGCTGGTGCGGTGGGTGGGCGTGCTGAATAACACCCGAACCACAGCTGTGGCTGCCCTTGTCAGAGTGCCAGCCTGCCTAACCCAGTCTGTTCTTGCCTGCTACCTGGCCCTCGCCCATCTGCTGCAGAATTCATAAAGTGCTGAAGATCACAAACATCTGAACCTATTATAGGTAACATACTTCAATTACATTCTGATTGTGGGCTTGGCTTCCCCCAAGCCTGGTTTGTAATGGTGCACAGATCAAATTCTCCCCACAAAAGAAGCACTCATCTCTAGGTAATCTCATCATGTTGGGTGTGCTTAAGAAAGAAGCCATTCTCCTAGATGCTGCTTTGTGTTATTCAGTTACCTGGCAAAGGTTCCCCCAGATGTAAATGACAGAGAGAAAGAGAGAGAGATGTAAAGGACAGGGAGAGAGAGAACTGACTTAAAATCTTTTCCCATGAACTTACCATGTTTGTGTATGGATCTGTAGTTTGCTTTCTCCACTATGGAGCAAGTGATTTGTTAGTTGAAATGACCTTAGCTCTCCTGAGGCTTATCTATCTTGGTTGTTGGCTTATATCACGCAAATTATGACCACTCTTCCAAGGACATCAAAGAATAAACTGCCCATATGTCCCTCAGACTGTGCTCACATGTCTCTTGCCTTGCCCCTCCCAAGGAGCTCTGGGCAGCACTTACCAGGCATAGTACCCTGAGCTGGAGCAGCACTCAGGTTGACCCAGTTAGAAGCCTGACAAGGAGGACATCTCAGCCTCTGTTCAAGGCTGCTTCCACTTTCGTTTTCTACTGAACTTGCAAACAAGCAGTTAAAAGAAACACACAAATGCCCAGCTGAGCCATATTAGAGCATAAGGCAAAAGGAAAAATCAGAAATATCAGTACTGATTTTATTTAAAATGTTAGTATTTTATACACACTGAATTTTTGCATTAATTTTGATTTTTCAACATATTGCATCAGAACCTGATTTATCTTGATTATGGAGTTTTTTTGGTGTTCTCTTAAATTTTGTTCCAAGTCCCAGCCCCAATATGCACCCATTGAGGAGTAAGACGCTGGAGTATTTATGCATCAACTCCTGCCCTCATTGGTTGGTTGTTGCTCAGGGAGCATTAGTTAACTCCACAGCACTTCTAGCTTGCCCGCTGTGCAGGTTAGACAGGCACCATCAGCGTCAGCCACAATGTCTGTCTTGGACTAATCATCTTGGCCAGAGAGAAGTAGCGTGTGATTGGTAGTCCTTTCCAGAAATGATGTGGCTTGAAGGAGCATTTCCCGAAAGAAGGCTTTGTATTCTGAGCAGCCCTGTGTCTCCTGAATGCTCTACATAGCCCTTTCTTAGATATTACAAGTCAATGCATTCCTTTTTTTTCCCCCTCAAGATAGTTTGAGTTGTGTTTATGTCACTTGAAACCAAAGAGTCCTGACTCTTGCAGGCAGACAGCTGAGAGTAGTGTCGAGCCTCATTAGGGTAGGGCAACATAGGTGTTGGGGGATGTATTAGTCAGCATTCTCTAGAGGGACAGAACTAATAGTATATAATTTATTAGGAGAATTGACTCACACGATTACAAGGTAAAGTCCCACAAGAGGCCATCTGAAAGCTGAGGAGCCAGGATGCCAGTCAGAGTCCCAAAACATCAAAAGTAGGGAAGTCTATGGCTGAAGGCCCAAGAGCCCCTGGCAAATCACTAGTGTAAGTCCAAGAGTCCAAAAGTGGAAGAACCTGGAGTCTGATATTCGAGGGAAGGAAGCATCCAGCACAGGAGAAAGATGGAGGCCAGAAGACCTAGCCAGTTTAGCCTTTCCACGTTCTCCTGCCTGCTTTTATTCTGGCTGTGTTGGCAGCTGATTAGATGGTGCCCACCCGGACTGAGGGTGGATCTGTCTTTCCCAGTCAACTGACTCAAATGTTAATCTCCTTTGGCAACTCCCTCACAGACACACCCAGGAACAATACTTTGCATCCTTCATTCCAATCAAGTTGGCACTCAATATTAACCATCACAGGGGACCAGTGGAGTATTCCTGCATTTGGGGCATCATGGGGCTTTACTTCTCTAGCATGTCAAGGTAGGCTGGAAGAGAATTTGGAGATCCTGGGTGGCTCACTCTAATTGGGACTAACAATAGCAGCAAACGTTTATGGCACAGTATGGTTCTAAATCATGTTCACCCTCCTATTTCTTTCCCCACCAAGGCTTAGAGGTACAGGCAAGGCAAGTTATACAATCCCAACTTCACGGATGAGGAAACTAAGGCTTCAACAATGACCCACCTATAGCTAAGTGGTAGCAGAGGATCTTGTCTTTTAAGTCACCAAACTCAAGCAATGAGACAGAACAATGGGGCTCATTTTGAAGCAGATTATCTTCCTGTTATTCTGTTGATGTAAACTTTAGTTCCTTGGTTCTATTCCACGAATTCTGTATGAAGTCACAAGTAATTGTCAGTGCTTTTCAGAAACAGGGACCTTGTCTTTGTCACCTAATCTGCAGCTCCCACACAATTCCTGGCAGGGATAGGTGCTCGGGCAATGTTTGTTGAATTGGATTAATACTGAGGAAGGAGAAGCTCAGAAAATTTCTGGCACTAGGCTACGCTGGACATTTAGAGGAAAGATGAAATGCTAAGAATAGGTCTGCCATCCACTTAATGAATGTACTGTGCCAAATGCTGGATGTACACCTCACCTGTATAGCAACTGCATAAAGTAAACATCGTTCATCCTGTTATACAGATAAGAAAAGAGAAGTTCAGAAAGATAAGGATCTTACTCAGTGACAGGACTGGGACTGAAACCCAAGTATGCCTGACTCCCAAATCTGTGTTCCTGAATCAAGTGTGCTCTGTCATTTGGAAGCTATACTAAGTCATCTTGCAATTCCATATAACAAGCTTGATAGAATGAATAGCCTGGTCTTATTTAAGGAGTTCCTTTTCCTCTCCTATCCTCTAGGAGGACTCCAGAGTTCTTTGTACTTTTGCAAATGACGGGTGGAGAAGCACCAGAGGTTCTGGAGTTAGAGTAGGTTGGAGGCATTTAGGGAGAGTTTGGAGAAGGAAGCCTAGGACAGTATGGAATATGAGGTGACCAGGAGAAGGAAAAGGGGATACAAGAGTGTTACTGGGGGCTTACGAATTAGATTCCTATTAAATCAGTAAATATGCAATTATTTTTTGCTTATTTGGAAGGTGCATATTTGAATGCCAGACTGCTGGGAACTAAAGGATGTGGGTCAATGGAGTGTCATAGGAAGGTCAGTTGAGCTGCCCTGGAGGGATCCAGGTAGAGGCTGGGCAGCACCCCAGTGAACGTAGGTAGGGGATCCAGGCATTGACTGGAGGAGAGTTGGACCACAAAACATTTCCAATTTTGTGTATCTCCAAATCTCCCACTCTGGCTAAGCATGAAGGCAGCCTAGCCATTTTGCTCATTCCTGCCACATGTAGTTCCCCTCCTGCCTTATCAAATGTTTATCTGTCCCCACCTCCCAACCCATCTTAATTATTTGCAATGATCCGTGATAGACACATAAACAACTCTGCAGCTTAAAATTCCCCCATCAGGCAAATATGAAATTATTCACATTTTTCTTGCAGGTTTTTCATGAAGCAAGTTGGTGATGAAATGACTCTCAAACGCCTTCCCCATTTTACGCTGGGGATTCTGCCTTTACCCTTTAATGGGTGTGTGTCTTCATGCCTCAGCTACACTGAGCGTTCTCCTTCCCTGTTTATGTTTATTTTGGAAGCAAAATGTGTTTACAAAATCAGTTAAAAAGTGTTAATGATCAGTTTCCAGAATACTAATGTGAATTCAAATTACTTTCACATGAATCAAGACAAATTAAAAAATGCCATTTGATCACAAACTGTTTTAAATTTGTGTTCTAAGTGGCGCAGCAAATCTGAATATACGCTTTTTAAAAAGAGCAGTTTAAAATAACCATTCTGATGGCATGAAGCAGTTTTGAATAAGAAGTCTCCTTCCAAGAGGAAAGGTCAGCTTTTGGGCATTCATATGGGAGAAGGTATGGGGTGACATGTGCCCCCCGCTTCCCAGAGAAAAATATTGTTTGTAATTGTCAAAATTAGGACTGAGCTATAAAATGTTCATGATTTTCATCTGTCTTGTTCACTACTATTTTTCCAGTGTCTGGACCAGAGCTTGGCACATTACAGGCACTCTATTTGCAGAATAAATGAATGAATAAAATCAGCTATATAAATTATAAAATTTAATCCAAGATTTTATTTGCTCTGAGTTAGTATAAAAATTTTGAAGTTCATAGCAAGACAGAGTAGAAAAATGAGGGCCATGGCATGGAAAAGTCACCAATTCCAAATCCATGTAATATTCCTCCTTCTTGTGCTCTCCTGGCCCATGCTGGTGACCCAGTAAAGTTCCTTCTGCCAATAGTAGCTTCTGACAGTCCGAGACACAAGGGACTATGTTGGCTTAAATGTGGCTTTTGCAGAATCACAACTGCTGTCTACCTGAATTTACCTGAATACCTTTTTCAGTGGTTCCACCTCCTACCTATAATGGAGATGGGGACTTGTGGGGTGACATTGTGCCGCTTCCAGGCTTTTAGCAGGCAACTTCTCCTGGCTCGGATGATCTAGAGCAGTGATTTTCCAGCAGTTCCTGGGGGTCTGGTGAGAAGAAGACAGGCCTGGAGTTGAAGGAGAGAAAAAAGGCTGGGCTGGCCTGTTGGAAGGAGACTTCCACCTCTGCAAGCATCCCCATCTTGTTTGGATTGCAAACTCAGTTGCCAGGTAAGATTTTGTTTCATTAACATCTTCAAGTGCTATTTTATTTTATTTTATTTTATTTTATTATTTTTTGAGACGGAGTTTCACTCTGTTGACCAGACTGGAGTGCAGTGATGCAATCTCGGCTCACTGCAACCTCCGCCTCCCAAGTTCAAACGATTCTCCTGCCTCAGCCTCCTGAGTAGCTGGGACTACAGGCGTGCACTAATTTTTGTGTTTTTGGTAGAGACAGCATTTCTTCATGTTGGCCAGGCTGGTCTTGATCTCCTGACCTTGTGATCTGCCTGCCTCGGCCTCCCGAAGTGCTGGGATTACAGGCGTGAACCACTGCGCCAAGCCTCAAGTGCTATTTTAAAAGATGGTGGTGGTTTGGGGGAGGATTGAAAACATTTATCTACACAGCTAAAGGAGCTGGCAAAGAATAAAGCTATGGTTCTGGATCCGGTTCCCCAAGGGGCACTTAACTGCCTGTCTCTGGGTTAATGCATGCGGGGCACACACAGTGCCTCTGCTAGAAACGATGCAAGCTGAGATTCTCTAGGCTGTTTTGCAAAGACTCTCCATGTCTCTGTTTTGGAATATGTTTGTATCACAGGCTTGGTTCTAGCCGAGAGGCTGTGTAGAAGCGGGTGAATTTGACTTAGATGTTGCCCAATGTTCCAAGGGATCTTTGGCTCTTGGCCCCCAGAACAGAATCAGATAAGCCCACTCATAAGCAACTTTGAGAGAGTCCAAGTCTATGCCTTCAAAGGGTAAGGAGCTGTTTCAGGGAAAGAAGGAACCTAGGCCAGGCACAGTGGCTCACGCCTGTAATCCCAGTGCTTTGGGAGGCCAAAGCGGGCTGATCAAGACGTCAGGAGTTCAAGACCAGCTTGGCCAACATGATGAAACTCTGTCTCTACTAAAAATACAAAAAATTAGCCGGGTGTGGTGGCAGGCACCTGTAATCCCAGCTACTTGGGAGGCTGAGGCAGGGGAACTGGTTGAACCCGGGAGGCGGAGGTTTCAGTGAGCCAAGGCATTTCAAAAAAAAAAAGGAAACTAAAGGATTTGCCAGTTGGGACAAAATGATGTCTGAGCAGCCTGTCGGGATTAGAAGCACTTCCTAGAAGTCCTGGAACCCCGGACTTACTCCTCATCCCCACCCCATCACTTAGACACTAGGCAGGAAATATCCAGTTGGATGCCAAAGTGACCCAATTGTCCCTCCTCAATTGTCTCTCTAAAAGCCAAGCAAGATGAGGGGAACGGCTTTGGACTCGGGCTGACTTGGACCACATCCCATCTCTGCCGCCATCTGAGCTCTGTGACCGTGAAGTGCTCCTACCACCCTTCTGAGCTTTTGTTTTCTTCACCTGTAAAAGTGCAGGAAGAATACTTACCTGTCACCAGAATATTCCAAGAATTAGAATTAATGTTTGGAAAGTTGTTGACACCTAGCAGGTACTCAAAAAATGGTGGCTATTACTACTACATTCTACAGTCTCTGCGCTACTTTGAAAGGACTTGCTTCTAGGGGAGCTTATTTCTAATGGGGAGATATTTTGGTTTTGAAGTAAAATCTATACCGTGTTAGATGGGAGGTGTGCTTTAGAGAAAAAATAAAGCAGGGATGGGAGACTGAGATGGCTGGGGAGCCTGAGGAAAGCCCCATTTATAGGTCTAAGAATGAGAGAGAGTTTCTTTCTTAAATTCCCTCTCCCTACTTTATCAAAGAGATTTTACTTCCAAATAAGTGTAAACGGGAAAAGGGAACAGAGCCTGAAAGACACTCAAAACAGACACTCAAAAATGCTGTCCTAGGGAGTCAGCTGGGGTGTCATCACTGACGTGGGACTTAGGGTGTTGAGCTGGAGTCCTGGTTTGTCATTTGAAAAGAGAAATCCTGATCAAGTTGTTGTACTGCTCTTTGACTCTATTTCCTTAACTGTAAATTAGAGGTAAGAATCCCTGTCTCACGTGCACGAGCAGGAGAGGCTTTCTGGTCTGTTGGGATTCTCAGATTCACAAGGATCAGGACGTGGCCATTGAAAGCTGCCATCCCAAGAGGCAAAACTATGGAAGATAGGAAGGAAATCCGTACTTACCTCACTCTGCTCCCTCCTCCTTTCCGTGCCTGCGTGCACACACACACGCATGCACACACCCTGAGGTTGTCAGGGGACTAGAGGTGTTGTCCTTGAAAGTGAAAGTCATTCCAAGGCAAAGGAAATGTACTGGTGTTGAGAAGGTTCGGTAGGGCCCCTTCCAACGGGAATGGCTGACTCGCCATGTCCTCTAAAGATGCTGCCTTGATTCGTGGATTTCAGCATTGTCCAAGCTCTGTGGCACCATGGACTGGTTGTATGTCACTGACAAGCAAATGCTTAGTCCTGTGCTGTATATATTTACTGTACCATATAAATAATAAACACTAATAACTCACTTCATCCTTTACGAGTTCCCCATCCATTTCCTGCCATTTCTGGAACTTTCATCACATGCTAGATGGTGTTGCTGACGTTTATTACTGGTTGCTCATATAGGGTGAGAAATCATTGTTGCCTCATGAATAGCTAGCATTTTTTTCCTCTTTCATTGAAAAGTTATTCTAACTCAATCTAAATTTCCAACAACCAGGAAGTATTTAAATAAGTCATCTTCCAACCATCTCATGAAATTACATAACCACTAAGAATCATGATTTTAAAAGCTATTCAACAATACAGGGAGAAAAATGCTCACATCACAATATTAGGTAAAAAAAGCAATGCAGAAAATCATCTATCCAGCGTGATCCGATTTTGCCCATACATTTATATGTAGATTTATGTGGGCACATTAAAAGACGTGGCAAAAAATGTTATTTCTGCGTGAGATGGTGGTGGGTGATTTTTATTTTCCACATTTTACAAATTTTCCACAGTGGACTTTTGGAAGCTGAAAAAATAGATTATTCCTTTATTTGAAAATTTTACTTTTAAAGGACATTTTCATAAATTTATTTTTAAATGTTATTTCTTTAAAACATTTCAAGACAATCTAATACATATAACAATAAAAACGCCAGCACTAATGTCTGCCTGACAGTGGCCAAAATGGGTGAGTGTGAGAGAGATGGGTTTGGCAGTCACTGTGAAACCAGCAATGAGGTTAACTCTGGTTTGGGGACTATGTCTTCGGGATCTGTGCTTTGTTTTGTTTTTTCCCCTCTAAGTATGGGTGTTCTATCCACAACATTCACAGTCCTACATGTAGACATATGACAGGTGTATTTTCTGTTTTCAGATTTATATCCACCTACAAAATTACCCTGTGAAAGCCCCATCACTCACAGAAACTATTGCTGAGGAGGAGAGGATGATTTTATTTAGCTAATTTTTAACAAATCTCCAATGTTGCCCACATCTCCTGAAGCTGGGAGGAGGGATAATCAAGTCAAGCCCCATTGACTAGGAGAATAGTGAACTGTGGAAAATGAGTTCTCAGCACGCCACAGGGCCACAACTCCATTTAAAGAACACGTTCATTATTCAGACACTCGGCCTTCTTCCGGGGCTGTTGGCCTGTCCCCAGGGCTGCCTCCATTCCCAGGGGCCCTGCAGCCTTCTGAGCCAGCCTCATACGCATGTTGGTGCTGGCAGCTGGTGTGGAGCAGCTCCAGGCACCACTGCAGTGGATCCCTGTAGCAGCGCTGAGAAGGACACGAGCACTTAACTGATGTTTTCGTTTTACAGATGAGGAAACTGAGGCTCTGATGGACGCTGTTGCATGCCAGGGTCACACAGCCAATCAAGGATAGCTGTACCCACATGTTTTCACTCCAAGACCATTGCCATTTCTAATGTGTGAAGCATCTTCCCTCCACTGGTCCAGCTTTAGAAGATGTGATTCTGACCAGCTAGCTTATGTTAAGATGGATATTTAAAAACCAGCTGTAAACAAAGATAAAAACAGCAACAACAAAAAAAGACAGACTTCCAGAATAATTATTAAATAAAATATATAAAAGATTGCAGTTTTGAGCTATCTAAATGTGAGACAAGCATAAAGGCAGACAGAGCTGAATTCAAACCTTAGCTTAGCCACTGCCTAGCTGTGTGACCTTACACAATATACTTAACTTCTCTGAGCTTCAGATCTCTCATTAATTGTACAGGGATTGTAAAATCCGGCTCATGTGCTTGCTGTAAGGGCTTAGCAAGATAATAGAGGTGAAAACTCTCCTTTCACTCTGCCCATATAGTAGACCCTCAATAACATATAGTTAATTTCTGTCTCCTCTTCCTCTGCCTCTCCCTCCTCACTTCTCATTTTTCTTCACTGATTCTTCCAGCAGTTCTGAAAAGGGGGGCAGGATGATTCATATGTTCAATAAACATCTAAGTGCCAAGCATTATTCTAGATGCTGGGGAGAGAGGGCACTTTGGAGACTCATAACCCCACATGGTAACCATCAGCAGGAGTGCCAGAGGGGCTCACACTTTTGGAGGGGTGCATCCACTTTGCTTTCTTACTTTATCCATCCAGCTCCTGCAGGCATTTGAGTTTATGGCCCTGATCTAAGGTAACGTTAATCAAGAATTTTCTAAGACTCTGTGGAAGCTGTTAGGTTACTCCCAGCAGGACCTGGTTTCAGGAGGGGCTCTAGTTGCAAAGCTCAAACCTATCAAAGCTGGCATCCATCCTTTGCTGGGATGCCTGGGAAAGACTGCAGCCCAAAAGACTAATAAATGAAGTGGTTGTCATTAACTATGTATTAATTCATTCATAAGTCACCCACCTCACAGTATTAGATGTAATAGATTCTAGGTACATATAGGGTGCTAGAGATGTATATCAGTGAAGAAATCTTTGTCCCTGGTCTTAAGGAGTTGACAAGTTAAGCAGGCATACAAGCTTATAAAGAAATCACTACAACAGAGCATGAAATTTGTGAGTCTGGGTATAGGGTACAGATGAGGAACCGCGGGAAATGAGGCTGAAGAAACAGACGGTGTTCAGATCACACAAGGTTTTGATGACCCTTCTAAGGAGCAGAGATTTCTTCTGAAGCAAAGAGAAACCAATGAGGAGTTTCGATAAATGACTTCCCCTTCTCCAAATCCATTTTCTTTCCATAGTTAATAATTTATTTTTTGAAAGTACTAGAAGGGGACTTAGAAATCATCTAGTCCAGAGGTAACAAACGGGATTCATCTGATGAGCCAACTCTGATCAGAAGGTGGGAGCTGTCTGTGTTGAGAAGGATTCTGCAGCCAAGTCTAGGCTCATTAAAACCACAATTGATTCATGATGTCTGCCACATACAAAGAAAGGAAAAGGTGGCATCCACCCTAAGAGTTGAATTATCATCTTTTTAAAGTAAGGACATTTCTTTGCACAAGTCACACAACTAGTTGATGCCAGAGCCAGGCCTAGAACCGAGGACTCCTGGGTTGCAGCAGAGAACCTATTCTCTGCACCATCTTCGCTCAGTCCTCCTTCGTGAGCAGGAGCAGAGCAGGAAACCTGGTTCCCATGACAACCAGCCTCTATGTCTCATAGGGTATCAAGACCATCCAGCCAGAGAGTGCTAAAGTAATAGGGGGAGCGCTTCTGTCATGTAACACTGTGTAACAAACCACCCAAAGTCTAAATGTCTTACAATAGTTTATTATTGTCTCTCATGATTCTGTGAGTTGACTGGACTCAGTGGGACAGTCTGCTGGTCTGGCTTGGGATGCTCATGCAGTTGCAATCAAACGGCAGCTGGTGTTGGAGCTATCTGGAGGCTCCACGGGTGGGACTGTGAAAATGGCTTCTTCCCTCACACCTGGCACCTCCATGCCCCTCTACGTAGTTTCTGTCTTCATCAGGAGCCTCACCCGCCACGGCCTCTGCAGGGGTCTCTCTCCAGTGGAGTAGCTGGACTTCTTACACAGTAGATGGCTTGCGAGAGTGTACAAGTGGAATCTGCTATGCCTTCTTAAAGCCTGGAAGCAGTAGAGTGTGATTTCTGCCACATCCTGTTGGTTATGGGTGAGTCACAGGTACAATCCAGATTGTTTGGAAGGGTGGGAGGGGACTGCACAGGGATTTGAACACCAGGAGTGCTTCATGGGGACTGGCCTGGGGGACAAACTACCACTGGAGTGAAAGCAACGGAAACCCAGCTGGAGTCTCAGTTGTTCCACCAGTAAGCAGGTGGCCTTGGCGAGGCCTGTCGGGATGCCAGTTTCCATCTCTGGACGGTGTCCCAGAGGGGACAAAGCTCCCGCCCTGGCAGTTAGTGCTTCTTCTCCTCCGCCTTTTCCCCTGCTCTCCCCCAAGACTTCTCAGGACAGTTTCTTCCTCAGCACTATTTTCCTTGTGGTGGAGTTGGAAGGATAGAAACTCTAACCAGCAGTCAGAGAGGGATTGGCACTGGACCCGACGTCTCATTATGTTGAACATCATTGTGCCAACCTAAGGGAAACGGTGCGGGTTGTTTGTTATCGATGGCAAATCTTCTTCCAAGAGTGGCGGGCCCTTCCGTCAACAACACAAAGTGTCCTCGCTCCCGGCCCCCTTTCCAGCCCTGTGACTCATCAGGCCTCTAACCTCTTTTTCCCCCACAGTGAGAAATATCCAAGTTGATAACAGCAAAAACTTGATAATGACTAGTGTTGGGAAGAGATTAAACTACTTGTAATTCCAAATTGTTCAAAATCAACTCTCCTGACCTGCCAGGATAGTGAGACTTAGAAAAACAAAAACAAAAACAAAAGCAGAAAACCAAAGCGGCAAAAAGAAACAACTTCAGAACACAAATTTAAGACACGAATTTTGCTCAGTTCCTAGTTTTGACTCTGAGCAATGGAGGTATTTCTAACAAAAGAAAATCTCCACGTCCGTCCTATGTTTGGAATATTCACTGGTGTGTAATTCCTAGAAGTGTGCTGAGAATGATTTCGATAAAGAGAAAGGTGCTTGACTTCTGAGATGCTGAGAATGATCTGTTTTTAAGGAACGTTTTTCAAACGTGAACAGGCCAATGAGAGAAATGGACTGCCCTCTGTTGGACAGAGATAGCAAAATCAGCCAGGGATGGAGGAGGAAGCTCTGTGGCAGTGGCTTCAGCCTTCTTGAGAAGGTCCTCTTGGGATCTTTTAATTGTGATGACACAGACCTCTCATTTAAATGTGGCCCAAGAAACACAGAAGTAAAATTTTAGAGACATCCACATAGATAAGATTTGCATTTCTACAATGTATCCAGCTATGTGTTTTCAGTTTTAACAGAGAAATGTCAAAAAATATACTAGTAAAGTGCAGGGTTTAGGGAGATACATATGTTAATAAGTATTTGAAGTTGAAGAATTGGGACTAGAGCTACTCTATTCCTAAGTTTATCAAACACAGAAATGGCTCATCTGACCTAAGATGCTGTATCCTGCAATGATAATATTACCTCAAAGGAGTTTTAGAGACTCAAACTGTCACTGTCTGTTTGAGGAACACAGTCACTAATTAAGCTTAAATGATGCTTTCCCCCACAAACATCCGTGATTATTATTGTTTTCTGCTGGCCAGGTCACCTACGGAATATAAAGAAAAGCAAATCCAGGCTTTGGCCCTCCCAGGGGAATGATCATGTCAGCAAGAATTCACAAGGACGTTGACTCCAGGGAAGGGAAGAGGCTATTTTTGTTCATTCACCTGCAGCTAGAGCTGCTCAGAGCAAGAAAGATTCAGCTATGTTCTACTTTTGCTTCCTTTCAAAACTAGAGAGCCATTTTCCCAAACACCTGTTACCCTTGCTTTAAAAATATCTTGAGAAGAGTGGAACTAGAGAAAGGAAGGAGTGTGAGGGAAAGGATTACAGAAGACAACATGTCTTCTGTGTGAATGGTCTTGACATTTCATACAACAATTAAGAAATTAGCAAAAAAAAAGGCACTCATCACTTGGACTCATTAACTCCACTTCTAGGAATCTATTCACAGAAATACTGGTAGAAACACCCCAATGTGGCTACAAGAAGGTCCACTGAAGCATTGCTTGTAATAATAGCAAATTAGAAACGACCAAAATATCCTGAATAGAGAACTGCCAGAATAAAGATGTTACACAATGGAACACCATGCAGCCATTTAAAACAAGGAGGTTCTCTGGGGGCTCACACGGACAGTGCACCACAATAGGTTCAGTTATTAAGTGACTAACACATGTTGCATAACAGAAGTGCTGTTTTCCATTTCTGTAAATAAAATTGTATTATTAATTGTAGTTTGTTGCTTAAAACGAAACCTGGAAGAATATACACCAGTCCATTAACAGTGGAAATCTCTAGGAGTTGGGATTATGAAAGGTGGCTACTTCTTAAATGTAATCGGTCCATATTGTTTCACATCTTTACCACTAGCATATATTACTTTTGTTATCAGAAAATACAGTTAACATTTGTTTCATTGGATAGATATGATTTTCTCTCAGCAGAAGTACTATAGGAAGCTACCCATTCATAGGTAGGAAGCACTTCACATTATCACTTTAATGATAGAATTAAATTGCTCAAGCAAATCACAAAAAGAAAAATCAGATGAAATATATAATGTAAATGCCCAGTGCCTGGCATATAACAGGTATTCAATAAATATTTGCTCAATGAGAGAATAAATAAATGAATGAATGAGGAACTGTTTTCCTATGTGCTTTGTTTTATTTGCCACCTGTTTAAAAAATTGTCTGTAAGTAAATACGTTCACTTTGAATAATATCTCCAACAGATTTCCCTGATTACAGAATTCATTTTTTTCTCTCATACATCACCAGAAATCAAAATGCTAGGGTGGGGAGTGTGGGAAGTGGTGAGGGAGACATAAAAATCAAGGCTTTAACATGAGGGAAAAGGGATTTTCACAAACCACCAAAGTGCTACTTCTCTTGGAAGAAGTGCACCCTGGATTTTTTCCAGCTGAATTCTGCAACAAAACCCAGGGAAAATGAACATTAATCTTTTATGAACTAAGCCCCCAAATGAACAGCCTTTGAGCTCAACCCTAATTAGGTTGCATCTCAATACAGAGAATCCTTAACGAATAAGGACACATAACAACACAGGCAAACTCTCTGCTGGGACTGCCTCAGAAATGCAGGGGCCGCCCAGGCCACTCTCAACTGCTCCTGTGCATCAGGGGCTCCAGCTTTACCTGGGAAATACACATTCATCTTGGAGAGAAAGCACATGGAGTTTTCTTTAACTGAAATTCTTGGCCATCTTGCTACCTCCATGGCCATCTGGGGGGTCTGTGGATAAATGAGAAGAGAAAGAGACAAGAAGCAGTGCTCTTAGAGTGAGTTTCAGCAAGTCAAGGTTTCTTCTGCTTTGTGCCCCGTGGAGCAGCCAACACTGGCTGTGCTCGGAAACAAGAAAATCCGCATATGCATTATATGCATGATGTGGGAGGGTGTGTAGTGCTGCGGTGCCTGAGAGACCTGGGTTTGAATGCCAGCTTAGCCACTTTCTACTCATGTGACCTGGGACAAGTTGCCTACCCCTTCTGAGCCACAATTTTCTCATCTATAAAATGCGGATAAAGGTGCGCTTGGTTGGGAGGAGTAAATGAAATGAACTAAGTAGCTCTCAGATTGTTCATTGCTAACCAAGACCTTATTTCTCCAACCACAGCTTCCCCAGCCCCATTCTATCACACAACTTCCACCTCTCTCATTCAATCCCAACAAAACATTGTAAGATAAGTGTGATAACCCCTGTTTTACAACTAAGGAACTCAGAGAGCAGAGGTCATTTGTCCGAGGAGACAGAGCAAGGGAGCAGCAAAGCTGGGATTTCACCTCGAAACCGTCCAACCCAAATCTCATGCTAACCACAGGATTGTGGGTCAACAGGGCTAATTTCAAAGACAGGGAGGACTCCTAGTGTTCGTAGTGTTCGACGTCTCATAGTCATGGAATTCTGGATTCCAGGACCCATAAGCAGGTTCCAGAGTCACCAGAGGCCCTGTGTAGAGAGGACTCAGGATGGGCTCTGATGGTGCCATTTTGGTGAAGGGTGTGTCGGGGGGCTCCC
Source organism: Homo sapiens (assembly GCF_000001405.40). Lineage (NCBI taxonomy): Eukaryota > Metazoa > Chordata > Mammalia > Primates > Hominidae > Homo > Homo sapiens. Next base: position 32,010,009 of record NC_000011.10, read on the forward strand.
TGCCCAAGGCAGCTGGGCTACTGTATCCAGCCTTAGGAAAGGCACCCATGTGAGCCTTCAGTGTACCTGGAGGACTGCTCCAGACAAGCCTCTGGGTAACTCATGGCCCCGATATAAACTCACATTGTCTCATCTTGTCTGCATTGCTTCTGTCTTCATTCAGTGCATTTCCCCATTTTCTTTCCCACGGTCACACATTGGGATGGTCCTTGACCCCCAAGAAATAATTGCGCTGATATCCTCCCCATCTTCCTCATGAGCAACCTCTCGCCCCACCCCTACCCTTAGACCACTGGAGTGGACACTGCCATCTCCTAGATTCTCTGATACCATTTGTCTGGCTTATACTAAATCCCTTTTCCCCCTGCTTGCTGTCCCACACTAGCCCAGCATCTCCCTGCTGCCCAAGAATGCCTTATCTTATTACTGTAATTAACTGGTACCACACTAGAAAGCTGAGCCAGAATCAGAACTCTCAGGTGAAGAAGATTTGCCAAGGGTTACAGTGCATGAGAATTGGAGTGGATAGAACTTGGCACTTAAAACCTCTTCCCTCCATACAGAACCTTATTCTAGAAACTCATTAACTCTGAGCAGTGCAGCCACATTTCCAGAAGAAGCTGTGGTCCAGGAATGCCTTTGGATTCTGCAATCCTGCTGTTTTCAATTGCCAGTCCCCGAGTGTTTCCTCCTCCTCTTCTCATTATCAGAATGTGCTTCATTACAGAATTCTATGATTATTTGTTGCAGTAAATTGCAATGATATTTATATTACTCAACATTTACTGTGCATCTACTATGTGCCCACTCCTGTGCTGAATATCTTACACATGATGTCTCATCTGACCCTCACAAACAACTCTGAGAGGGTGCATTAGTTCGTTCTCATGCTGCTAGTAAAGACATAACTGAGACTGGGTAATTTATAAAGGAAAGAGGTTTAACTGACTCACAGTTCCAGGTAGCTAGGGAAGCCTCACAATCATGGCCGGAGGTAAAGGAGGAGCAAAGTCATGTCTTACATGGCGACAAGCAAAGAGTGCGTGTGCAGGGGAACTCCCCTTTATAAATGATCAGATCTCATGAGACTCATTCACTATCATGAGAACAGCATGGGAAAGATCCACTCTCATGATTTAATTACCTCCCACCAGGTCCCTCCCATGACATGTGAGAATTATGGGAGCTACAATTCAAGATGAGATTTGGGAGGGGGGAGACAGCCAAACCATATCAGAGGGGCAGTATAGTTATTCCTGTCTTATGGATGTGGACAACAAGCTCAAAGCATTAGGCATCCTGGGTGTTTCTAATACAAATTAATGTTTGAAAACCTCTGGCTTAAGCACTGCGGGAACCTAGAAGGAGAGAGGTGATGTCTAGCCTGGAGAATCAAAGTGAGAAGTGAGAACTGAACTGGGTCTTGGAGGATGGGCTGGAGGAAGACAGGAAGAAATAAGGAAGAAAAGCTTTCTAGGTAGAGGGAACAGCATGAGAGATGATACAGAGATGGAAAAAGATACAGAACTGTGAAGACTACAGTGCCTGACATAAAGGGAGCCTTTAAAACCCTGTGGAACTGAGTTCCGCTGAACTGCTAGCTTGGCTGTAGCAAATGGATCTCACATGATCACATGCAATCTAGAAGCAGGTGCTTGCAGAAGAAGGGAGGGGCAAGAAGCCCTGCTCTCTGGGCTTGCTGGCCACTCATTGAAGTCTCTGAACCAACTGGTGAAGTAGCTTTCATGGGTCCTATTTTACAGACAATAAAACAGAGTCTCAGTGAGACAACTTGCTTAATTGGGTCAAAAGCCTAGAAAGCAGTAGAATCTGTATTCAGACCCAGCTCTGTCTGGCTCCACAGGGCCCTGGTTCACCCTCCAGGCCATGCTAATGAAGGAAGGTCTGCCCCCCATTTGTAGGCTCCCTGAACTTCTTTCTGGACCAAAAATGAGTCTGACACAGACTAGCCTTGATGGGTCACACCCATCTCCTTTAAGAAGCTACCGCTTTTCACTTTCTTGGCATTTTCTGTATGAGATGCAGCCATGCCAAGCTTCTGGGTGCCCCTCGAGAGGAAGAAGGCTACAAAATGCCTTTGGGCGGGCGAGGAAGCACCCAGGTATGGGAGGCAGCTGCAATCAACCGAGAAGGCTGTGCTGCTTCAAGCAAAGCCCCAGATGGGGCCTCCAATGAGATCACCCCAAACCTCCCTGGCTGCCAATTCAACATCTGTGCCTGACATATTGGCCTGCAAATATTTCAGGTCCAAACCCGCAAATCCAGATGTGTTTGTGTCATGAACTCTCTATATTCTGCTAGAAATTACTGAAGTCTGAAAAAAGAAATTAAGCATTTGCTCAGGCACACATGAACCAGTGACCTGAAATTCTCTGTGCATGTCTAGGTTTTGGGTGCTCACACTTACGGACTCTGAATACCAGTTTCCACTCATCTCCTGGCCCTATTTACCTTCATAGGAGGCCATATGTAAAGGGGCTGATGTTTGCTTTCAATTTTGTGCCTCATGGAAGGTTTATGAAGGTGGAAGTTGCCTTTGCACAGTGGCCAGGCATTGTTTTGTTTTTACGTATTAGTAGTTAGGTTGGAACTTTGATCTGGTTTTCAAGCACTGCATTTCCAACAATAGAGTAAACCAAGGAGCATTGCAGCGCAGCCCTGGCTTCACATAAGGGTCACCTGGCGGACTTCGCAGACACCAGTTATTCAGCCCCCATAAGAATATCTGGATATAGAAACTCAGCACCAGTGTTTATTTTTTCAAAATTCTCCAGTCATTTCTAATCCATGGTTAGTGTTGAGAACCTCTACTATGGAATCTACCCATCTAGACTGTTATAAAGTGATCAAAAACAAAAACAAGGTGGGAGTAGGGAGGGAGCAGGTATAGGTGTTAAGACAGGAATAATGCATATCAAAATAGTAACGCTGGTGAGGTGGGCATTGGCTTTACCTCGAAAAATTCCAAATCAACTCTCAACTCTCATGGACTGATGAGCAACTCTAGACAAGGCATTCAATCTTACAGAGCCTGTTTCCTCATCTGTCAAGGGGGTAATGATACTTGATTGGGCTGGAAGAAAGCTGAAATAAGAATATGTTAGTAAAGTGCCTTGCAAAGTGCCTGGCACAGAGTAGGCATTCAGCAAACGGTACATATTATGGCTAAGTTTCAACGTACACACACACACACACACACACGAGAGACAGAGACAGAGAGAGACAGAGAGAGAGAAAGAGAGAAGGAGAGAGACAGAAGACTGGAATGATGTATATCAAAATATTAACACTGGAGGGGGGATTGCAGATGCATTTTTTTCTCTTTTTTCTTTCTTCATTTACTATGTGTTTGACAATGACTTTTTTCCTTCTAATAAAGGTAATATAAATTATTCTTTATGGAAGTTATAATGATAAACTTTGAAGAACAAAATCAGAGTACAAAACAGTATTTGTAATATAAATGTAATTTTTAACAGAAAAAAAGATCAGCAAAGTACCTGGAAGGAAGTCCCACAAATGTTGAGGCCAGGTTCTGCACACAGCCCTTCCTGCCCTTCCTTCCTTTCTTCCTTTTGTGTTCTCCAATTCATTCTGTAATGAGAAGCTACTCGTGTTGGGTTCTGCCTCCCCCGACCCTCTGAAGATTTACCCAGGCTGGTGCTGCATCCCTGAGGCTTGTGATGCAAAATCTTGTCCTGATGCAAAGCCTTCCACAGTTTGCCAAGCCTGGACTAGGGCATCCTTCACAGACCAGGCCAGAGCATCTGGAAGCAGGCACAGGCCATGCAGCCACTATATGCTGTGTCAGCATCTCCAGCTGTGTCCCCAGGCAGTATCTCACTCTGTGGTTCCCCCCAAGGCCCTTATAGTAGCTTCAGAGGCAACACTTTGCTCCCTGTTAGTGTGGGTGATGACAGCAGCCCTCAGACACGAAGATGAACAACCAGTAGGCCAGGGATCCTTTAGCAGCAGTGGGAAGGCTGCCACCACCATGGTGGGCCTGTCCTCAGCCCAGTGGCTTCCCAAGTACACACAGGTGCATGGACTCCCTGAGTGGCTGTGGGTGGGGTCTTCAGTGATGCAGATTTTAAAACAGTGGAGAAGCTTTGAGGTGCTAGAAATTCCTTCTTCAATACTCATGACTCCATTCTCTTCATCACCAAACATTTTTGTATATGCCAGGCACTTCTACAGAAGAAACTATATGCCACAGCTCCTAGCATGTGCCAAGCACCACATAGCCAGTGGGAAGGCAGATAAATCAGACACAGTGCTCCTAAGGTGCTCACGGAGGGAGGGACATGCCAACCTGCAATGACAATACAGAGGGAGAAGCGCCTTGATGGGGAAGCTGGGTGCTGAGCACAAGAAGGGCACATAATGGGCCTGGGCTGGGGGAGATGGTCAGAGAAGACCCTGATGCCTGAGCCAGTTCTTGTAGGACAAGCAGAAATTACTAGAAGAAGGTGGGGAGAACATTTCAGCAGAGGGAACCCCAAGGGTGGCTGCTCAGAGTCACAAGGCATCTTCTGGAAACTGCAAGGAGGACAGCAGGGCAGAAGGAAAGAGAAGAGAAAGGGTGGGATGGGCAGGGTTGGGAATATTCCCAGAACTGTCCCCTAGAATTTCCCAGATCTTGGACATTTCTGTACTTCCTTGGTGGCTTTTGCCACATCTGTGTTCCACCTGTATTATTATTTTAAAGATATTTTTAAATGAGTCATTTTTCAGTTAAATGCTCCACTTAAATGTACCCTCAAAGGAAATTTGGCATTGCTACCATAAATAGAAAATCAATAACCTTTGCTTGCTATAAATGGAAGCTAATTATAAAGACAAATAGAGTTCCAAACTACTAAATTCAACACACACACACACACACACACACACACACACACACACACACACACAAGAGACAGAGATAGAGATAAACAGTTTTGAAAACAGGGTGGGCTGAGTCTGAATCCTGCATTCTTTGTTCAAAAGGGCGGTTAGCAAGTGTTAGAGGATGATAAAGAAAAATGGAGATTTTCTTTGGGATAATCAGAAGGCTTAAAGGAGAATTATGAAGGGAATACGTTTCTCACCATATATTTCAATGTTCCTTAAGGCCCAGGCACTGGGTGCCACCTAGAACATTCTCTCCTGCCACTAGACAGGTGTGTCCCATGTTCCGGATAACAGTCCCAGAGAAGGGGCCTCCATGGGAGGATGTTCACATTTCCGAAGATAGGAAAGCCCGAGAAGGAGCAAAGAGAAGCCCAAATCTGTCCCCAAAAACACATCCTGAACTTTCCATGCACTGTAAGCAATGTCTTCAAGCACTAGCGTGTGAAAGACGTGAGTGGAAGAACCTAGAAGCTATCTCCGCCTCTTCCATGGAGCCATGAAAGGGGCTGGAATCCGCTGAGCTCTCTATAAACAGTTCTGCTGGCAGGGCTCACCACTCCCTAATTGACTGTACTGAAAATTATTCCTGATGCCCCCAAAGTGAGCTTTTATCTTATCACAGCTTGGTAAATATTATGATACGTTGTGGTTTTTATTACCACAGAAGTATACATGTTAACTTTTCCATTTATGAGAGGGATGGCCAGAAAAATCTCGGTGGCAAGAGCTTGAAAGCAATTACCACCTTGCTATTTGGAGATCTGGCCAGATGTCAAGGGAGTTTATAGCCAAACCACTACTTCAGTGGTGTTTTGTCCCCCAAAGTAATCCAAAAATTAATGTACCAGAAGTAAATAATACGTTTGTATAGTACATTGTGAGAGCTGAGGCTTGCTCTTAAAGGGAATACCATGGAAATGCTTTTACCAATAAGGAGATAGATACATTTTGGGCATGTTTTTGACTTGGGTTAATACGTCTTTCTTAGGTCCATGAACTTCTAAAACGGTAGAAAGCTCAGAAAAAAATGAAAAAATACTATATTATGTGTGTTTGTGTGTGTGTACATGTATGTATATATAGATATCCATACCCCAAATTAATTAACTGGCTGGCATCAACAACAATAAACTGCTCCAATAAAACTCAATTTGAGAAAATGAAGTAAGAATTTATCTCCCCCAATTCCCGTACAACAGCAGCCTTGTGTTATGTAGCTGTGTGAAACCTCTGGAAGACAGGAAAAGCTTTGGCCTCATAAGTCCACTTTGATGCCACTGCTGGACTAATCCCAATGTAGAAAATTTGGCTATTTCTGGAAATAACCCATGTGACAGTCATCTCCAGAACCCATGGAAACCTGCAGGAACTTCAGTACATTGGACAGGATCTTCTTTACACCCAAAGATGGCTTCTTGAACAGCAAGACCCAAAAGCTGGCAAGATTTTAGCTAAGCTCAGTTAGCTTGGTTTGCTTTTCTCACGTAGGTAACTTGTGAGAAAATTTGGCAACTTGTCCACAACCTGTCAGACACATTTGCTATATTGTGATCAAGGACCTCTTTGCATTTTTAAGTTTGATAACTTAGTTAAAAACAAGAACAGTGAATAAGCACACAAAGTTGTGTGCACGAGATGTTTGTTCCTTTGTTTTTAATTAATAATGAAAGACTGGAAACAACCAAAATCTAAGAGATTGATTAAGTATTCTATTGTTGTTAAGAAGATAGGTCTTTATGCATTAAAATGGAAAGGTATTCACCAAGTGGAAAGGAAGTACTTCACAGAATAGTCTGTCTCTCTCTCTTCCTCCCTTCTAACCATATATATAATATATTCTTCTGACCTAATATATATAATATATATTCTTCTAACCTTATATATATAAAATATATATTCTTCTAACCTAATATATATAAAATTTATATTCTTCTAACCTAATGTATATATATTCTAACCTTATATATATAATTCAAATGAAATAATATATATATAATAACCTCCTAACCAAATATATATATAATATTTTCATTAACATTAAAATATGTGTAGTTTTGTATATTTGCATATGCTTAAAAGTTCTGGAAGACTGATATGATATGAGCCAATCTTAGGGGGAATTTGGATCATGAAGGGATTTAAACTTTCTTCATATTGCTTGATTTTTCATTTTTTACAAAGTGCTATGCATTTTCAACAACATTTTAGTGGAATTTTTTGTAAAAGAACAAAATGATGGGCACACATTGAGGGATTAAAAAAAAGAAAGAACAAATTGAAAAGAAAATCTTAATGTGCTGTCTTCCATTCCACCAACTGAGGAACCATTAAGGAGATGGAAAGAAATGAAAGCAAGATCATATCAGACCAAAGACTCTTCTGCTCTAGACTTAGCTGTCATTTTCAGATCAAATGCTGCTTTGCTTAACACAAAACCTTGGTCCTTGATTACTCAGCCAACTCATGAATCTACAGAGAAACTCAAACTCAGAAATGCTTCCTAATGTGTAGTCAATACCAATGGCAGCAGGGAGACCACCAACTCAGTCTCTGGCTTGATGGAGTCTGCCAACAGTTAATTGATCCAGCAAGCCCAGGTTCACCTAAAATCCCACTTCTTAGAGCATCTAGTGGCCTCTGAAATACGCTGGACATTTCATTTTCATAACATCTGTCATTTATTAAGCACCAACTACGTCCCAAAGACTGTGCTAAGTTATATGCGTTACCTTTCATCTTCACAAAATGTTTGGAGATGGACATTATCATTTCCATTTTACAGATGAAGAAACTGAGGCCCAGGATGCTTAAGTAACTTGGCTAAAGTTATAAGCTCACAAGTGACAAAGCCTATACCTCGATCTCTGCCTGTCTGCCTTTATTTTCTAATTTTCAGGCTATCCGATATAGGGCTTCAAGTCCTATATCTTCCTCCTAATGTTGGTAGAAAGCTAATATCTCTCTGAAAATCTTCAGTGTAACCAAAGACTTACTTATTCGCCTGCAGTATCAGTAAATTTCCCCCCTTGGTTTGTACAAATTACTGTAGCAATCAAGATGCATGCATCCCATTGTTCTTTGACATTTAGATATTACAAGCCTTGGATAGTTTTTTAACTAAGACAGCAAAATCTTTTCACAAATGAGTTCACTTCAGGGAGAAAAATCTGTTGGCAAGGGAGAAACGATAACTTGTCAAAGGCATGCATACTATTTTTTTTTTTTTTTTTTTTGCTAAATTCATGTTTTCCCTTGTCAACCAATAGATGAGCATAAAGACTTTCGTAATATTCGTTTTTTTGTGATTCACTAGCGATATCATTATGATATAATATTCTCTTGGCAATAAGGAATAATTTACAGATCCTGGGGATGAGGTTTTTAATGATGGTGCTTTAGGATGTTGACTCATGCACATCTTTTTCTGAGTTAAATTCTTACATCTTTTTAATAAAGTAAAATCAAAGTACCATGCAGTAAGTGCTCTGGTGCTCTCTCGAACGTCCACTGCTCCCCTCCCCACTGTGTTGCAGTCTAGTGCTTCAGGAGTTGACTGTAAGTCCACGGATGGACTTTGAGCAGTCCAAGCCATCCACCAGGAGAAGGCTTTCCCTCCTGGTTTAGAAATTAGGAACTCAGGTATAACCCAATCAGAACATGGCATTCCGCTGGCCACCTGAGTTGGTTCTGGAACAAACATGTGATCTCATTTGAGCCAATAAGATATTTAAGGAAGTCCATGGGGGCTCCTTGGAAAAGTTTCCTTTCTCCTAAGGGATACCCATAGAAAAAGCCAGTCTCTTGGCCTCTAGACATTGTCTGGCCCAGGATGTCAGGCTTGCAGTAACTGTAGCCACTTCAATAACACCCAGAGAATGACACTAGGATGCAGAAGAGGACTGAGACAAGAGAATATCAGAAAAGAGGAGCTGAAACTGCTAGACTAAACCAACCTGGAGCCAGCTCTGCCTTTGGGTGTTGTTACACATAATAAGAAACACAGTTTCTTATTATGTCAGCCATTTTGCATTTCTGTCACTGTAGCCGAAGCATCCTAACCAATACTGACCACAACGATTTCCTCAACATAATTCCCACTTTACCATGATACTGTCACAAAAGGCTTCAATAAGTACCTCCTCTTCAGAAATGAGACCATCAGCAACCATTCAATTTCATGAACTAGGAAACTAAGACCCAAATCAAAAAAGGCAGATGACTTAAGCTTACCCAGAAATATGACCTTATTTGGGTTTCAGCTTTCTTGCTTTCTCCAAGAGGATGTCTAAGTCACAGTCACCAAATATGTCCAAAGAGGGTTTCTAAAGCATTGGCAGCCCATGCAGAAGAGTACAGGCATTGATTTCTGTTCAGCCTAAATTGAGGCCAAAATCATGCAACTTCCTACCGTGGGCTTATTGATGGAGATGAATTCTAGTCCTGAAACCTTATTTCAGGTGGCAAGCATAAGGCACTTTTGTTCTTGCAGATCTTGATAGAGCAATCTATATTAAAGGCATCTTCTTTTCTTTTATTTAGTAATTTATACGTACTCAGGCCAAATCCATGTCCCAGGTCTTCTACAGCTCAATGTAGCCATGGACTAAATTTTTACCAACGGGATGTGAGAAGAAGTGATATGTGTAATTTTCAAATCATGTCTTTAAAAGGAAGCACTAGAATCTTAATAGTTATTCAGTCTGGATTGTACACATATGGAGATTAATTTTTTTCTACTTTGTATATGTTTGGAATTTTTCAAAACTTTTTTTTATGATTCTTTAAGTTTTAGGGTACATGTGCACAACGTGCAGATTTGTTACATATGTATACATGTGCCATGTTGGTGGGCTGCACCCAGTAACTGGTCATTTAGCATTAGGTATATCTCCTCCCCCCTCCCCCCACCCCACAACAGTCCCCAGTGTGTGATGTTCCCCTTCCTGTGTCCATGTGTTCTCATTGTTCAATTCCCACCTATGAGTGAGAACATGCGGTGTTTGGTTTTATGTCCTTGTGATAGTTTGCTGAGAATGATGGTTTCCAGCTTCATCCATGTCCCTACAAAGGACATGAACTCATCATTTTTTATGGCTGCATAGTATTCCATGTTATATATGTGCCACAAGTCAAGAAAAACAAAGAGAAACTTGCTTTGACATATTTTAAAACATGTTATAAATCCATGTAAATGGTTGAATTTTATACAAAACAATGAACAATTCAGCCAGTCAAAACAGAAGTATCACTGAGGGAACTCCTTAAGCTAACAAAATATTTGTAGAAAATTGATAGCATCACAAATTGTCGAAAAATAAGAATTATTTAAAAATTGCTAAGAAAAAGGGCAAACTATTTGAACACATATACAATGATAACCCCCACCCGCCATTGCATGAGCATAAGACACATAGGAAATATGAAGGAAAAAATTGTCTGATCTCAGGATCAAGATGGATCTTATATCCATCAAACAATTAACATAAGCCACAAAAATCTACAATATAGTTTTCTTTCAATGATGTACATGATTTAAAACAAGTAAAATAAAAATGTACATAAGAAATCAATACCAAATTTTCATAGATATCACAAACGATGTTAATGCTCTAGGGAGTTTTGAAAACCAATTTACTCTGATTTTCCTATTGGAAAGTTCATGTTCAAAAAATCCACAAGAGAAGAACTGCAATTGCCAATAGCATAGGACAAAAATTTCCAAATTACCATTGATCAAAACACATTATAGTATACATGAAATGACATTCATTGTTGTGATATACACGATAGCTCAGATTAAATGACACTTTTATCTTGCCAAACAGAGAAAATGTTTTAGAAAATAACATCCAGTACTCATCAGGGTATAATAAAATGTCCAATTTTGTAGCCCCAAAATAGCAAAGCAGTACAACCTGTCAGGATTGCAGTTTCACAGATCCCTTAATAGATGAACTCTAGGTATTAAAATGAAGAAAATAATTAATAGCTAAGTAATTAGTTATAAAGGAGAATGCTCAATTCAGTGCTATTTTGATAGCAAAATATAAAAAATAAGGGGAAAATAACACAATAGTGTTACAGAATAGTATACGTAGAAAAAGATTTAGTTAATGGAGCAATGTGTATTTAATCCCAAATTTGAAGTATCTATACAAATTAAAATTAAAGTGATTTTTGAAAATGCAAATATTTACTAAGAATGAGAAAAATTTTAAGAATTTAAGAATAAGAAAAATTTACTAAGAATGAGAGAAATTTTAAAATGTTGAAAAATAACATAAACATGAAATACCAGACACATGCACATGTATGTTTATTGCGGCACTATTCACAATAGCAAAGACTTGGAACCAACCTAAATGTCCAACAATGATAGACTGGATTAAGAAAATGTGGCACATATACACCATGGAATACTGCGCAGCCATAAAAAATGATGAGTTCATGTCCTTTGTAGGGACATGGATGAAATTGGAAATCATCATTCTCAGTAAACTATCGCAAGGACAAAAAACCAAACACCGCATGTTCTCACTCATAGATGGGAATTGAACAATGAGAACACATGGACACAGGAAGGGGAACATCACACTCTGGGGACTGTTGTGGGATGGGGGAGGGGGGAGGGATAGCATTAGAAGATATACCTAATGCTAAATGACGAGTTAATGGGTGCAGCACACCAGCATGGCACATGTATACATATGTAACTAACCTGCACATTGTGCACATGTACCCTAAAACTTAAAGTATAATAATAATAATAATAATAATAATAATAATAATAATAATAATAAAAAGAAAAACCCTATGATAGGTCAAGACTATTTTTAAAGAAAGTTGATTATTTTCTATTTCTTTCCCCTTTCTGCCGGCTGGAGTGGGGACGTGGTGCTGAGACAGCTTTGACCTTATGGCCTAGGGAGGGACTATAGAAGATGGTGAAACCATCAGAAAAAAGAAACCTGATTCTTGGAACACGTTGAAGGCAAAGCTACCTCCTGGAGCATTGATTGGCCTGGAATTCTGCAGCAGAGACACAAAACTTTCTATTGTTTAAAAACATGGTTATTTAAGTCTCTATTAAAGTTAAAAGATGAATATCAGAACTAATCATCAAATTTCTCCATCCCTCCCAAGTCTAGGAGTACCAAAATAATTTCATTGTGAATGATGCCTAAATGACTTTTGCCTCCACTTGCTACTGTAGGACTGTGGCCAACAATATCTTCAAGATTTTCCAGAAGCATCACATGTGTGTACAAACAAGATGGGTCAGCTCACCTGTCAGTGACTACATGCTATCTCTCTATCTGCTATTTGTTCCTGACCCTCCTGCTCCCAACTCCTTCCACTGGGTACTGCTCCCTCCCCATAGGCATTCTAGCTCAGTTGAGGCACAGACCAGAGTTACAGAGTTCTGTTCAAGATAGGAGAGAAAGCTCCTATCCCTCTTTTGTGTTAAATCCTACTAGGGGTCCCCACAGCAGGGCTGCTTGAGCCTAATGCATGCCAGAATGCTTCTCTGGCATGCATTAGGGCTCAAGAGTTACTTCTAGCCCTGCTCTTCTCCTGGGTTCTAAGGCATGTATTCGATGGGACACAGAAGACAAAACCAGTCAAGAGATACCTCCATGTTTTATTTTGCATCTTTTTTCTGATAACCAAGGCTTTGCCTCTGAGTCCAACTTGTCTATTTCATTCCTTCTTCCCTTTGATGCATTCTCTCCCAGGAAGTCACTCATTTCTTTTGCAAAGAAGCCTTTGGGAGAGTCAAGCCTACCAGTTGGCCAGGAATCCCCAAAAATGAGTTACAAAAGCAATGAGAAACACTAAAAATAGAGTATTTTCATAGTAGAAGGAAGAATGAGCAGACATCAAGGAGGGTTTGTGTGTTTGAAAAGGATGTTCCCTTGAATATCAGTCCCAGGTAACATTCAAGAAAAAAGGGGCCAGATATGGTGGCTCACATCTGTAATCCCAGTACTTTGGGAGGCCAAGGTGGGAAGATTGCTTCAGCACAGGAGTTTGAGACCAGCCTGGGCAACATAGCGAGACCCTGTGTCTACAAAATAAAAAATAAAAGAATTAGCTGGGAAGGATAACATGTGCCTGTAGTCTCAGCTAATAGGGAGGCTCAGGTGGGAGGATTGATTGAGCCTGGGAGGTTGAGGCTGCAGTGAGCTGCGATTGTGTCACTGCACTGCATCCTGGGTGACAGAGTGAGACCCTGTCTCAAAAACAAACAAACAAACAAACAATACAAACAAAAACAAAAAAGAAAAAAGGTTCTATGGCCAAATTAGTTTGGAAAACACAAATAACTGTAGTTGTCACTTCTCATACCCCCTAGCCCTTCACAGTGCAAATTAACCCAATACAATCTTGGAGAAGCCCTGCAATAGCCTGTTTATTTTTTGTTTGAGCCATGATTTCTTAGGCACATTTGAGCACAGAGTCTCCTCTTAGGCCCTTGCAGTACCTATTAACATTTTGGGAAGCACCCTTGGGAAAATGGCAGTTGTGAATTGGAGCCCTCGCCCTTTCAACTCTTTGCATTGTGATTTTGGGGATGAGAAAAGAGTGTGTGTATGCATGTGTTAAGCTGTCATTTGAGGTGTCAGTGGTTGGCTTCAGTAGCAGCATTAATGTGGCAGCTCTGAGTGGCATATTCCTCCAAGCAGAGGAGGACGGGAACAGGTCCCCAGGGCTGGGAAACACACTGAAATATTTCCCCCACCGCATGCCAGGGTTTCAATACCAAGAAAGTTGCCAGGGTAAGCTTTGGCACAAACAGCCCATCAGACAGAATTGCTCCTTTTTGGAACTGAGGAATTCACACCCACACTGAGGCTGGCGTGGGCACATGCCTCTCCCAGCTGGTCCCTTTGGAGGAATCACAGCTTCCAGAATGTTTGAGCTGCTTGAGAGATACAAGAATCTCAGAGATGCAGCGAAGCTGTTCTTGAAACAACACAAATCCATGTCAAAGGCATTTTAAGAGAGAAAATGAAGCACCTGAACCTCCAAGCTCTCATTGGAGAGGCTGTGGAAACCAGAAACTGCAGAAGGATCCCACAGGAAGAATTACCCCGATCTACATGCCTGTATTTGGCCACTAAATGTGAACACTCTGCTAAACAATAGAGGCACGGGGTTTTCTGGTCAGAAAGAATGATGCAAAGAGCAAGGCAAAGGCTGGCAAAAGCAAATGCTTTCTCCCCTGCGCGTCATAGATCTCCCAAGACATGTGATTCTAAAGAAAGCTTAATTAAATTTAATGGACAAAACTCTCTCGGTGCTAGGAAGCATTTTAATGTGGTATTTCGGTTCTGGGTGGACAAAAATCAGTCTTCCTTGCCTCACTGCTCTCTCCTTTAAATGAAACAAACTTCCTGATTAGTCTCATAACTCTCATGACTGCCCCGTGTCCTCCTGTCTGATGATCCTCTCTACAGGACACCTGAAGGGGGGCTTCTCACTGAATCTGCAGGACACTGGCCTACATAAGTCAGAAGAGAGCATCCCACAGGAAGGAGAGTGGCATCTTGACCACCAAGTTACCTCTAGTATCCAGCACAGCATCTGATGCAAAGAAATTTTTTCTTTTCTTTTCTCTTTTTTTTTTTTTTTTTGAGACAGAGTCTCACTTTGTCACCCAGGCTGGAGTGCAGTGGTGCGATCTCTACTCACTGCAACCTCTGCCTCCTGGGTTCAAGCAATTCTTGTGCCTCAGCCTCCCAAGTAGCTGGGATTACAGGCACACACCACCATGCCCAGCTAATTTTTTTGTATTTTCATAGGGACAGGGTTTCACCATGTTGCCCAGGCTGGTCTCAAACCCCTGAGCTCAGGCAATCCACCCACGTTGGCCTCCCAAAGTGCTGGGATTATAGGCCTGAGCCACCACTGCCAGCTGCAAAGTATATTTGATGAATAAATGAAAGCAAGAAATAAATAAAGAAGGAGAGGGAAGGAAGCAGGGAAAGAAAGGAGGAAAGAAAATATATTAGAGCTGTAGTGAGAGAAAGTGTCTCAGGCACAGCCTCATGAGACAGCAGGAAGGTGAGACTGTATTTATTTATCAGACGGCACTAACAGAACGGCAGTACTCCTATTTTGATGAAGTAATACTTTTTCCCATCCCCTATTACCCTACTCTCCACCTCCTCTGCCATCCCTGTGATTCAGAGAAACTGACTCCACTCCCAGGTGGATCTGATTGGCTGAGGCTAACTCCACCCTCTTGCCAGTGATTGGTTCAGGAATGGTTGTATGATCCAGTTGGGTCAATAGAATGCAAAGATGGTTTGCTAGGGGTTTCCAGGAGTGATCTTGCTCTGAAAGAGCCCCCAGAAGTGAATCTTCCTTCTTTTGAGGCCCAGGAAGATTGCTATCTTGCTGCTACCAGACTGAGTGTGAGACCGACACATGGAGGAGAGTGGATTCAAGAGAATCACAGGAGGTAGATGCCACTGGATGAAATCCTCCCCAAAGCCCATCTGACTCCTTGACTTCTAGTTATGGTTCAAGGTTTCTGGGTTGATATTTACAAAAAGAGATTCTTAAAAAGAAAGATCTTCAAAGAGCTACACCTAGCTCTGTTTCTGACTGTGTGACCTTGAGAAAGACACTTAGCCTCTCAGAACCGCAATCTGCTCACAGCTAAAATGAAGGTTAAAAAAGATTACTATCTCAAACATTTCTCACAGAATTTTTGGGAAGATAAAATGTAAAGTAACTGCAAGGAGTTGCAAATCTCAGTAAAGATATTATTATCTTTATTAGATCTGATTTTCATTTTTTTCTATCTCCCTAGTCTGCCCACTGAACAATGCTAATATTTGATAACTTCAGTCTACATTTAACTTAATCATATAGTACTGACTCCAATTCAACCTGTATAGCTATTATTTCCACCTGCCCACTTCCAAAATAGATTTGGGGTAGCTTATAATAAAAGCCCCTGGCCAGGCGCGGTGGCTCACGCCTGTAATCCCAGCACTTTGGAAGGCCTAGGCAAGTGGATCACGAGGTCAGGAGATCAAGACCATCCTGGCTAACACGGTGAAACCCTGTCTCTGCTAAAAATACAAAAAATTAGCTGGGCATAGTGGCGGGCGCCTGTAGTCCCATCTACTCGGGAGGCTGAGACAGGAGAATGGTGTGAACCCGGGAGGTGGAGCTTGCAGTGAGCAGAGATTGTGCCACTGCACTCCAGCCTGGGCAACAGAGCAAGACTCTGTCTCAAAAAAAACAAAAAACAAACAAAAAAGCCCCAAAACAATAGAACAATAAAAAAGAATTCAAGGACAAAAATCAAATAAGAAAGCTAGGGAATCATTGTCCCAGAAAATCCAAATGAAGAGCTTCTCTAACTGAGCTCAAAAACTTACTTCTGAGCTTCCTGTCAACCAAAGCGAAAAGGGAACTTATTTTAAAAGCTAATATCATGCTAAGCATTGTGCCAGGCTCTGTGAAAGTTACAAAAATAAATAAGACATGGCTCTTGCTCTCAAAGAGTTTGAAAAATAATGAGGAAAAAATCCACCAGTGAAAGTAGTAATATAGGCATATTAGGTACACTACAAGCGTTGTTAATTACCACCTAGAGAAAATCCATGAGGGTAGTGAGAGGAGAGAGATTAATTCTAGCTTTGGAAAGATTTGATGGAAGAAATAGTATTTGAAGTGGGCCTTAGGTGGGGTGGGAATCTAATTGGGATTGTGGAGGGGCATTCTGGCATGAGCAAGCATAACAGCATATTTAAGAAAAGGTGAGTAATGCAGTTGGTCTGACATGGTCTAGGGTGTGGCATGTGTGTGTGTGTGTGTGTGTGCGCACACATGTTCTTTTGTGCACATTAGGGAGAACAGGAGATAAGATTGGTGAAAGGGTTTGAGGTGAGTTATGACAACCCCTGAATGTCATGCTCAGGAATTTGAACTTTATTTTGTAGGAAATGGGAAGTCACTGAGAGCGTTTCAGTAGGAAAGTGACATAATCATAGTTGTTCACCAAATAATATATTTTTGGTGGTGTTTCCCCCCCAGAGATCAAAATTGAAAGTGTGGTTCTGCTGTGAGCTAATATATTTCCATCAGAAACTTAGCCTTCTCCTGTGCCATTCTGTGTTCACTTGCAATTTTTCATTACATTGATTCTAAGTCAGTTATTCCCAGAGAAAAGACAGAAATTCATCATCTTTCCCTTTATGATTTCCTCCTCTGTCATCAAACACATCAGCAGGCATGAGTTTTACCATAATTCAATTCCCGCCTTCCACCCACCTTAATTACATGCATTTCCACTTGATTATAATTCACTGGAGTATTCAAGAGGATCAGGAAGTTAAATTTCTCTTGGCTTGGCAATTCTTTTGGGAGAGTTCTATAGCAATACACAGGACAGGAAACTCATGAACAAGAGATAGGTTCTGTGGCCTCGAAGCCTCAGAATTTCTCCACTTGGCGGAACCATAGAATTCTGCATTGGAGGAGGCTTTAGGAATCAGTGCTCGCGATGTAGTAATGGGAAGAAGCACTGATGATGGTTTTTTGCCCTCAACCAGCACCAAGAAATTTGCTTTCCCTTGCCCAAGATAACAACCTTGATATCAGTCATTGCCAATAAAGAACAAGTGAGTCGAAATTTGTTGATCACTCAGGATCAGAATCCAGTGACCCGGTAAAACTCAAGTTTGCTCACTTTTCCCATGAATACTTAAACCACCACTGCTTAAGGAATGCACTATGTGAACAGCCAACTGATCTAGAGTTAGAGAAATGTCTCTAAAAGGCCTTCCCTGATTCCTCCCAGCTGAGTTAGATGTCCACCCCACCTCCTTTGTGCTCTCATATGATGTTTTGTGCATCTCTCTATTGTTATGTGACCCACACACTGTTATCTAACATTTAGATACTTGTTGTACACCATACATTTGCATATATTATTTCATTGTCTCCCTAATGACCCTATGAGATAGATATTATTATTGTCATCCTGTTTTAAGGATGAAGAAAAAGAAGCAAGGCATGGTTAAGTGACTTTTCCAAAGTCATACAGCCAATAAGTGCTGGAGGTAGAGTTTGATATCACATGGTCTGAAGCCAAGCCTTGCTCTGAAGTTCTTTGCTACAATGTTATCATTATTTGTTTCTGTGTCTATGACTCTTTACTTTCTCCTGACTGTGCTCCCAGTGTGGAGGCAGGAGAAGAGATTCCCTCCTGCGCATTGGTTTTTACCCCTTCTCAGTTCCCCATTG
Organism: Homo sapiens; assembly: GCF_000001405.40. NCBI lineage: Eukaryota > Metazoa > Chordata > Mammalia > Primates > Hominidae > Homo > Homo sapiens. Next base: position 32,028,192 of record NC_000011.10, read on the forward strand.
CCCAGCATAGCACATAGCAAAAGACAGGCGCTCAACCAATGAAAGGTAGCTACATGGATGAAAACGTGAGAAAGTCAAGTGGTAACTCTTTCTCCCGGGACTCACTGGTTTGTATTGATTCTATACTTTAATTCTGGTTGAAAACCTGTCACATCTTCAGAGAGGAAGCAGAGGAGTCCTTAGGCTGCATCTCTCCTAACTGGGAAATTCCCTCACAACATCTTCCCTATTGGTCAGGTGATCCAGATGTGACACATCTTCAAGACTATAATGCAAAGAAAATTTAAAAAGAAACAGTTTTCAAAAATACTTTTCACTAAGCTTTCCCCCCAATCCATGTTATCCCCAGCCAGATTTGACACATACAGTTTTATTTGTTAAATAAAAAGGACCCATTTCTGAAGCCACGTGTCCAAGTCTTTGCACCAGTGAGGATGCCTCCTTGTTTCCAGCCACACTGTCCCACACTGCCCTCTCCATGGCCCAGCAAGGGCCCAGTCTTGGGATCTGGCTTTTGGCAGGACCCTCACTCCCATGGGTGAATCCAAAAAAATTCTGGCCAGCGTTTCCTTCCTGTTTTCCCTGGAGGTTCTTTCCAAGTGGTGCCCTAAACTGGGGACCAGGGACCGGACATAATCCCAGTGCATATATCAGGCTGAGGCTCCAAGGAGACATCTGACCTCAGAGGGCAGATGGCTTCTTCCATGTGAGATACAGGAAATACCACAGCTAAAGAATGATCCATTTTCCAAAGAAGTCCGTGATGAATGACACTGAGCATCTCAGAAGTTCGGTCAAAACCAAGGTAGCTGGGGAGTGTCTCAACCCCCACCACGTGTCCCCAAGATGCCAGGGGCTTTCCTGGCAGAGGGCAGTGGCCTTCAGTGTACTGCTTCACTGTTTCTGTGTGATGGCAGAAAACCCAACATGGTAGTTTCAATGATGACAGCAGAATTCCTCTCAGGAAGAGGGAGGCAGATAGGTCTTGAGGTCCTTTAAGGTCCCCTGGGCACAGCAGGAGTACATGGAAAGGAGGACAAAGAGAGGATCGAGTGTTCAATCCAGCAACAAACAGGAAGCTGGGGGCTGGGAGGAGATCAAATAAAGAAAAGGAAGTTGTCATCAACACAGCAATGGAAGCGGGCCCTCCTCTAAGAACTTTCCAGTAGTGAGAACACATGAAGTGCTTTATTTTTCTTTTCTTTTCTTTGTTTTTTTTTTTGGAGACAGGTCTCACAATCATAGCTCACTACAACCTTGACCTCATGGGCTCAATGGATCCTCCCACCTGACCCTCCCTAGTAGCTCAAACCACAGGCGCACCCACCGTACCCAGTTAATTTTTATATTTTTTGTAGAGATGGGTTTTTGCCATGTTACCCACACTGGGTCTCCAGCTCTTGGGCTCAGCCTCCAAAATCCTGGAATTACAGGAGTGAGCCACCACGCTGGGCCAAGAAATGCTTTTAAGAATAATGTCTAATGTTTCCTTTTAAGTTTTTTTG